>NC_000004.12:114375926-114527441 GCF_000001405.40 Homo sapiens | reverse complement strand
TTATTTAAAAATTGCATAATACATCTCATTTACTTGATAAGCCCATGTATGCCTGAGCTTATTTGTCACAGTCATCTGTTCTGAATTTAATCTATGAAATAACCTCCCTCCCTTACCAGAAAACACCCTCCCATTTTCTTCCCAAGCAGTCGTCACTCACATTCTCTTGTGCCCCAAATGGTGCCTAAATGAACATCTCTGATCCAAGCATTTGCCCAAAGACATGCCTGGATTAGAATGTCATAAATAGGTCATTGCTTTCTCCATTTGGCAGTTGCTTATTTCAACATTACCCAAAAGCATTATTTCCCTTACTCTTAACCAAAAGAACCATCTGGGCAACTGAGACTTTCTCTCGCTAGAGCTCCAGAGGATGTCTCAGGGTTTAATGAAGTTGCTGTGTCCCTGCAGCTTGCTCAATCTAGGTAACAGTGATGACATGAGACATTAGCCACACCTTAAATAAGTCAGGTAGCTCTCCCAGCAAAGTCAGATGCAAGACTAGATGAAATAAGAGTCTATGTGCTTAGGTTTAAGGGACAAAGAAAAGGAATCCTACTCTGAAATGCTTCCTCACCTGCTTGTATTTCTGCCTCATATCCTACCTCCAAGTTTTATTATTTTGAGCTAAGCCATAGATTCATTCATTACAGTTGCCTTTAGGAAGTATAATAGCAAATGATGCAGTCATTAAAATTAGCTGTCTTTTGTTTGCTATTCATTTTTCAATACAATAGGTCAAAATAGCCTTTGATGGGTGACATAGTATAAGTGAGAATAAATGAATAGACCAATAACAAGTTTTAAAATTGAGGCAGTAATTAATAGCGTACTAAACAAAAAAAGGCCAGGGTCAGATTGATTCACAGCAAAATTCTACCAGAGGTACAAAGAGGAGATGATACCATTCCTTCTGAAACTTTTCCAAACAATAGAAAAAGAGGGACTCTTCCCTAATTCATTTTATGAGGCCAGCATCATCCTGATACCAAAGCCTGGCAGAGACACAACAAAAAAGGAAAACTTTAGGTCAATATCCCTGATGAACATTGATGTGAAAATCCTCCATAAAATGCTGGCAAACCAAATCCACCAGCACATCAAAAAGCTTATCCAACATGGTCAAGGCAGCTTCATCCCTGGGATGCAAGGCTGGTTAAACATATGTAAATCAATAAATGTAATCCATCACATAAACAGAACCAATGACAAAAACAACATTATTACCTCAACAGATGCAGAAAAGGCCTTCAATAAAATTCAACATTGCTTTATGCTAAAATCTCTCAATAAACTAGGTATTGATGAAACATATCTCAAAATAATGAGCTATTTATGACAAACCCATTGCCAATATATTACTGAATGGGCAAAAGGTGGAAGCATTCCCTTTGAAAACTGGAACAAGACAAGGATACCCTCTCTCACCACTCCTATTCAACATAGTACTGGAAGTTCTGGCCAGGTGAATCAGGCAAGAGAAATAAATAAAGGTATTCAAAGAGGAAGAGAGGAAGTCAAATTGTCTCTATTTGCAGATGACATGATTATATATTTAGAAAACCTCATTGTCAGCAGGGCGTGGTGACCCACGCCTGTTATCCCAGCACTTTGGGAGGCCGAGGCGGGTGGATCATGAGGTCAGGAGTTCGAGACCAGCCTGCCCAACACGGCGAAACCCCATCTCTACTAAAAATACAAAAATTAGCCAGGCGTGGTGGTGTGTGCCTATAATCCCAGCTACTCAGGAAGCTGAGGCAGGAGAATCAATTGAACCCGGGAGGTGGAGGTTGCAGTGAGCCAAGCTCCTGCCACTGCACTCCAGCCTGGGCAACAGAGTGAGACTCTGTCTCAAAAAAAAAAAGAAAAAAAAGAAAGAAAACCCCATTGTCTCAGCCCCAAAACTCCTCAAGCTGATAAGCACCTTCAGCAAAGCCTCAGGATACAAAATCGATGTGCAAAAATTACAAGCATTCTTTTTTTTTTTTTTTGTATGTTATGCAATGGATTTTATTTTATTTTATTTTTTATTATACTTTAAGTTTTAGGGTACATGTGCACAATGTGCAGGTTTGTTACATATGTATACATGTGCCATGTTGGTGTGCTGCACCAATTAACTCGTCATTTAACATTAGGTATATCTCCTAATGCTATCCCTCTGACCTCTCCCCAGCCCACAACAGGCCCCTGGTGTGTGATGTTCCCCTTCCTGTGTCCATGTGTTATCATTGTTCAATTCCCACCTATGAGTGAGAACGTGCGGTATTTGGTTTTTTCTCCTTGCGATAGTTTGCTGAGAATGATGGTTTCCAGCTTCATCCATGTCCCTACAAAGGACATGAACTCATCATTTTTTATGGCTGCATAGTATTCCATGGTGTATATGTGCCACATTTTCTTAATCCAGTCTATCATTGTTGGACATTTGGCTTGGTTCCAAGTCTTTGCTATTGTGAATAGTGCCGCAATAAACATACATATGTATGTGTCTTTATAGCAGCATGTTTTATAATCCTTTGGGTACATACGCAGTAACGGGATGGCTGGGTCAAATGGTATTTCTAATTCTAGATTCCTGAGGAATTGCCACACTGACTTCCACAATGGTTGAACTAGTTTGCGGTCTCACCAACAGTGTAAAAGTGTTCCTATTTCTCCACATCCTCTCCAGCACCTGTTGTTTCCTGGCTTTTTAATGATCGCCATTCTAACTGGTGTGAGATGGTATCTCATTGTGGTTTTGATTTGCATTTCTCTGATGGCCAGTGATGATGAGCATTTTATCATGTGTCTTTTGGCTGCATAAATGTCTTCTTTTAAGAAGTGTCTGTTCATATCCTTCACCCACTTTTTGATGGGGTTGTTTGTTTTTTTCTTGTAAATTTGTTTGAGTTCATTGTAGATTCTGGATATTAGCCCTTTGTCAGATGAGTAGATTGCAAAAATGTTCTCCCATTCTGTAGGTTGCCTGTTCACTCTGATGGTAGTTTCTTTTGCTGTGCAGAAGCTCTTTAGTTTAATTAGATCCCATTTGTCAATTTTGGCTTTTGTTGCCATTGACAAGCATTCTTATACACCAACAATAGACAAAAAGAGAGCCAAATCATAAGTGAATTCCCATTCGCAATTGCTACAAAGAGAATAAAATACCTGGAAATACAACTTATATGGGATGTGAAGGACCTCTTTAAGGAGAACTACAAACCACTGTTCAAGGAAATAAAAGAGGATACAAACAAATGGAGAAACATTCCATGGTCATGGATAGGAAGAGTTAATGTTGTGAAAATGGCCATACTGCCTGAAGTAATTTATAGATTCAAGGCCACTCCCATCAAGCTACCATTGACTTTCTTCACAGAATTAGAAAAAACTACTTTAAAGTTCATATGGAACCAAAAAAGAGCCCATATAGCCAAGACAATCCTAAGCAAAAGGAACAAAGCTGGACGCATCACACTACCTGACTTTAAACTATACTACAAGGCTACAGTAACAAAAACAGCATGGTACTTGTAACAAAATAGATATAAAACAATGGAACAGAACAGAGACCTCAGAAATAACACCACACATCTACAACCATCTGATCTTCAACAAATCTGACAAAAACAAGAAATGGGGAAAGGATTCTCTATTTAATAAATGGTGCTGGGAAAACTGGCTAGTCATTTGCAGAAAACAGAAACTAGACCCCTTCCTTACACTTTATACAAAAATTAACTCGAGATGGATTAAAGACTTAAATGTAAAACCCAAAACCATAGAAACCCTAGAAGAAAACCTAGGCAATACCATTCAGGACATAGGCATGGGAAAGACTTCATGACTAAAACACCAAAAGCAATTGCAACAAAAGCCAAAATTGACAAGTGGGATCTAATTAAACTAAAGAGCTTCTGCACAGCAAAATAAACTATCATCAGAGTGAACAGGTAACCTATAGAATGGGAGAAAATGTTTACAATCTACCCATCTGACAAAGAGCTAATATCCAGAATCTACAAGGAAGATAAACAAACTTACAAGAAAAAAACAAACAACCCCATCAAAAAGTGGGCAAAGAATATGAACAGACACTTATTAAAAGAAGACATTTATGTGGCCAACAAACATAAGAAAAAAAGCTCATCATCACTGGTCATTAGGGAAATGGAAATCAAAACCACAATGAGATACCATCTCACACCAGTTAGAATGATGATTATTAAATAGTCAGGAAACAACAGATGCTGGCGAGGGTGTGGAGAAATAGGAACACTTTTACACTGGTGGTAGTAGTGTAAATTAGTTCAACCATTGTGGAAGACAGTGTGTCGATTCCTCCAGGATCTAGAACCAGAAATACCATTAACCCAGCAATCTTGTTACTGGGCATATACCCAAAGGATTATAAATCATTTGACTATAAACACACATGCACACGTATGTTTACTGCAACACTATTTACAATAGCAAAGACTTGGAACAAACCCATATGCCCATCAATGATAGATTGGATAATGAAAATGTGGCACATATACCACACGGAATACTATGCAGCCATAAAAAAGAATGAGATCATGTCCTTTGTAGGGACATGGATGAAGCTGGAAGCCATCATTCTCAGAAAACTAACACCCCATGTTCTCACTCATAAGTGGGAGTTAAACAGTGAGAACACATGGACACAGGGAGGGGAACATCACATACCACAGCCTGTCAGGGGGTCAGGAGCAAGGGGATGGAGAGCATTAAGACAAATACCTAATGCATGTGGGGCTTAAAACCTAGATGACAAGTTGATAGGTGCAGCAAACCACCATGGCACATATATACCTATGTAACAAATCAGCACATTCTGCACATGTATCCTAGAACTTAAAGTAAAATTAAAAAACATATAAATAAATAAATCATAGACGACACGAACAAATGGAAACACATCCCATACTCATGGATGGGTAGAATTGTTATTGTGGAAATGGACATACTGCCAAAAACAATCTATAAATTCAATGCTGTTCCCATCAAAATATCATCATTATTCTTCAAAGAACTAGAAAAAAACAATCCTAAAATTAATGTGGAACCACAAAAGAGCCCAAATAGCCAAAGCAAGACTAAGCAAAAAGAGCAAATCTGGAAGCATCCCATTAACCAACTTCAAACTATACTACAAGGCTACAGTTACTGAATTAACATGGTACTGGTATAAGAAACAGGCATGTAGAGCAATGGAATAGAATAGAGAACCCAGAAATACAGCCAACAGATCTTTGACAAAGCAAACAAAAACAAAGTGTGGAAAGGACACCCTATTCAACAAATGATGTTGGGTAATTGGCAAGCCACATGTAGAAGAATGAAACTGGATCATCGTCTCTCACCTTATACAAAAATCAACTCAAGATGGATCAAATACTTAAATCTAAGATCTGAAACCATAAAAATTTTAGAAGATAACATTGGAAAAACTCTTCTAGACATTGAATTAGGCAAAGTATCCATGACTAAGAACCCAAAAGCAAATGAAACAAAAACAAAGATAAATAGATAGGACTTTATTAAACCAAAAAGCTTCTGTACACCAAAAGAAATAATCAGTGAGTAAATATACAACCCACAGAGTGGGAGAAAATATTTGCAAACTATGCATCCACCAAAAGACTGCTATCCAGGATCTATGAGGAACTCAAACAAAGCAGCAAGAAAAAACAAATAATCCCATCAAAAAGTGGGCTATGGACATGAACAGACAATTCTCAAAAAAAGGTAGACAAATGGCCAATAAACATATGAAATAATGCTCAGCATCGCTAATGATCAGGGAAATGCAAATCAAAACCACAATGCAGTACCACCCTACTCCTGCAAGAATGGCCATAATTAAAACATCAACAAATAATAGATGTTGGCATGGATGTGGTGAAAAGGGAACACTTTTACACTGCTGGTGGGAATGTAAACTAGTACAACCACTATGTAAAATAGTATGGAGATTACTTAAAGAACTAAAAGTAGAACTACCATTTTATTCAGCATTCCCACTATTAGGTATCTACCCAGAGAAAAGTTATTACATGAAAAAGACACGTTTACCCGCCTGTTTATAGCAGCACAATTCACAATTGAAAAAATATGAAACCATCCTAAATGACGATCATCATCATATATATATATGTGATGTATATATGTGTGTGTGTGTGTATATATACACATATATACACATATGTGTGTATATACACATATGTGTGTATATAGACATATATACACATATGTGTGTGTATATACACACACATATGTGTATATAGACATATACACACATATGTGTGTATATACGCATATATGTATATATGTATATATACACATATATATGTATATGTGTCTATATACACACATACATATACACATATATATGTGTGTATGTGTATATAGACACATAGATGTGTGTATATGTGTGTATATAGACACATATATGTGTGTATATGTGTGTATATGACACATATATGTGTGTATGTGTGTATATGACACATATATGTGTACATATACACATGTATGTGTATATATGCATATCTACACATATGTGTGTATATGTGTGTATATATACACATATATACGTAGTGTATATATGTACATATATACACACATATACACACATATATGTGTATATATACACACACATACACACATATATGTGTATACACACACACATATGTGTATATACACACACATGTGTGTGTATATACACGCATACACACACGTGTGTATATACACACATATACACACATGTGTGTGTATATACACACATACACACATATACACACATATATGTGTATATACACACACATATACACACATATGTGTGCATATATACCTATCTACACACATATATGTGTGCATATATACCTATCTACACACATATATGTGTGCATATATACCTATCTACACACATATATGTGTGCATATATACCTATCTACACACATATATGTGTGCATATATACCTATCTACACACATATATGTGTGCATATATACCTATATACACGCATACCATGGAGTATACCGTGGAGTACTATTCAGCCATAAAAATAAATGAAATAATGGCAGTCGCAGCAACCTAGATGGAGTTGGAGACTATTATTCTAAGTGAAGTAACTCAGGAATGGAAAATCAAACATTGTATATTCT
Organism: Homo sapiens; assembly: GCF_000001405.40. Taxonomy (NCBI): domain Eukaryota; kingdom Metazoa; phylum Chordata; class Mammalia; order Primates; family Hominidae; genus Homo; species Homo sapiens. Next base: position 114,520,269 of record NC_000004.12, on the reverse strand, counting down.
CACTTATAAGTGGGAGCTAAGCAATGAGGAGGCAAAGGCATAAGAATCATATAACAAACTTTGGGGACTCTGGGGGAAGGATGAGACGGGAGTGAGAAGTAAAAGACTACACATTGGGTACAGTGTACACTGCTCGGGTGATGAGTGCACCAAAATCTCAGAAATCACCACCAAAGAACTTATCCATGTAACTAAACACCACCTGTTCCCCAAAAACTACTGAAAAAATATATATATACACATAAAAAGAACAAAAAAGATGACTGCATTGAATTTTAATTTTTAAAACTGCATGTGACTTTTTATCTCAAATAAAATAGTTTATTTTGAGGAAAAAACTTTTGAATGATTTCATACATAATATTAATTTCCTTCCCCAGAATTTATTCATCAGAGTAGCATCACATCTAAGTTGAAATAATCAAAAAAGAACAAACAATAATCCAATATTGCATTCATTTTTTTTCTTTCATACATAAAACTCTGTGGGGTTGATTTCTCACATTCAGATATGTGACAAAATACATGAAAAATGTTAGTATTTATAAATAGTGTGTCAGAGACTATTCGTCCTCTCAAATCAGTTTTGCCCTTTCTCCTTAGGAACAAAGAATTAAATCCACAGCTGGTCACTCAGCCAGGGCCTATTCTTCCTTGCCCCATCTTACAGCCAGAACAAACAGCTGACGGTTCTCATAGATGGAATGTGAACAGAAGGGACTTGTAGCACCCTCTAGCCTGGCTCAAAGTTTGGCTTAAATCCTGCCCTCTCTTTGGATTTTCAGTTATATTAGCCAATACATTTTCTTACTATTTAAACCAGCTATAATTGTTTGTCTTTAGTTGCTCCTAGCCAAAATCATCCTAGATAATACATATGGTCATAAAACACATTGCATAAGCATGTTTGAAATGTATAACATATGACCAGGAATGTTTTCCAAACTAGAATATGTAGAAATATTTTTTTTGTTTTGTTTTGTTTTTGTTTTTGCTTTTGAGATGGAGTTTCACTCTTGTTGCCCAGGCTGGAGTGCAATGGCGCGATCTCGGCTCACCGCAACCTCTGCCTCCCGGGTTCAAGCAATTCTCCTGCCTCAGCCTCCCGAGTAGCTGAGATTACAGGCATGCGCCACCACATCTGGTTAATTTTGTATTTTTAATAGAGACGAGGTTTCTCCATTTTGGTCAGGCTGGTCTCGAACTCCCGACCTCAGGTGATCCACCCGCCTCAGCCTCCCAAAGTGCTGGGATTACAAGCGTGAGCCACCGCATCTTGCTGAAATGTTTTTAGAGTTGAATTGATAATGTTTATTGGTTGGAGCTGTGAATATGTTTACCTTATTTTTTAAGTTGTCTGACATCTTGTATAAACACTATTGTTTTTATGGTTTGTTCATCTGTTTTTTTCCAGCACTGCACAGCTAGAATTCACCTCTTGGATAACATTTTTTTTAAATTATACTGGCTCAAATTTATCCAAATAGTAATGACATTTTGATGTCATACAAGTTTAGCATATTATTTAAAGTATATTACCCTGACAGTATTGTATAATTCAGTGTTGATGTGATTATCTTAATACTCATATGAAGAACGACTCATCAGATACTGATATCTGATAATGGTTTTAGATAATTTGAATGTAAGCATTGTGCTAGATAATATAAATTTGCTCTACAAACTAAGGCCATATTCTTTATTTGTTAAATCCTCAAAAGTATACTGGTCTTTGTGTGTGTGTGTGTGTGTGTGTGTGTGTGTGTGTGTGTGTGTGTGATATAACAACAATTGCAAAAACTGTTCCTCATTAAATAATATTGCTTGAATTCTTATTTCAGTCTTTTGCTATGTCCACAGGAAGCAATCGTTTCACTGTACAGAATACAGCTTTCTTGAGTCATTGTAATTACATCAAAGCTTGGAAATCAACATAATCCAAATATTTATTGCAAATATTTTATTTGCTGATTTAAAAATATTCCTAATATGTACACATACAACTCTATCAATTATCATGTATTTAGAACATATGCAATTGTGTACCCTGATGAGTTTTTTTTTTTTTTTTTTTTTTGAGATGGAGTCTTGCTCTGTCGCCCAGGCTGGAGTGCAGTGGTGTGATCTCGGCTCACTGCAAGCTCCGCCTCCTGGCTTCACGCCATTCTCCTGCCCCAGCCTCCCTGGTAGCTGGGACTACAGGCGCCCGCCACCACGCCCAGCTAATTTTTTGTGTTTTTTTTTTTTTAGTAGGGGTGGGGATTCACCGTGTTAGCCAGGATGGTCTTGATCTCCTGACCTCGTGATCCTCCCACCTCGGCCGTACACTGATGATTTTAATCAACATGCTTTATGAGATTTTTCTTAAAGACTGGAAGAACATCACAAACTGTTAACAGTAATCTCCTCTGTGGAAGTGTGATTGGATGTGTGATCTTGGAAAAATCATTCATTTTATACTTCATATGAAAATTTTATGAATCACTAGATGTTGGGTTGTGTTTGCCTTATTTAGAATAACATTTAAGCGAAAGTTCCTAGAGAAAGGATTGTTGGGTTTTTAAAGTTGTATGTTTCTTCAAACAACTTTATAACAAATTATAAGTTTCCAAATTAATTCCTAAAAAGGTTGAATTGGTTTACATTGTCATCAGCAATATGAAATTGTATTTCAGCATTTCCAAAAAAAGAGATAGGAATAAATATTTGTGGGATATATTTTTGGTTATTGCTCTTATAGCCATTTTTCATGTTTGTTCATCCCTTTATTCATTGGTCTTAGTTCATTTGAGCTGCTATAACAAAATACCATCATTGTGATTTTTTTGGTTATGGTTTCTTTCTAATTTGGTCTTTTATTTTTTTTTTTTATTGATCATTCTTGGGTGTTTCTCGCAGAGGGGGATTTGGCAGGGTCATAGGACAATAGTGGAGGGAAGGTCAGCAGATAAACAAGTGAACAAAGGTCTCCGGTTTTCCTAGGCAGAGGACCCTGTGGCCTTCCGCAGTGTTTGTGTCCCTAGGTACTTGAGATTAGGGAGTGGTGATGACGCTTAACGAGCATGCTGCCTTCAAGCATCTGTTTAACAAAGCACATCTTGCACCACCCTTAATCCATTTAACCCTGAGTGGACACAGCACATGTTTCAGAGAGCACAGGGTTGGGGGTAAGGTCATAGATCAACAGGATCCCAAGGCAGAAGAATTTTTCTTAGTACAGAACAAAATGAAAAGTCTCCCATGTCTACTTCTTTCTACACAGACACAGCAACCATCCGATTTCTCAACCTTTTCCCCACCTTTCCCCCTTTTCTATTCCACAAAACCGCCATTCTCATCATGGCCCGTTCTCAATGAGCTGTTGGGTACACCTCCCAGACGGGGTGGTGGCCGGGCAGAGGGGCTCCCCACTTCCCAGCAGGGGTGGCCGGGCAGAGGCGCCCCTCACCTCCCAGACAGGGCGGCTGGCCGGGCGGGGGGCTGACCCCCCACCTCCCTCCCAGAAGGGGCAGCTGACCAGGCTGGGGGCTGAGACCCCCACCTCCCTCCCGGACAGGGTGGCTGCGGGGCGGAGGGGCTCCTCACTTCTCAGATGGGGCAGTTGCCAGGCAGAGGGTCTCCTCACTTCTCAGATGGGGCGGCCGGGCAGAGACGCTCCTCACCTCCCAGACAGGGTCGCGGCCAGGCAGAGGTGCTCCTCACATCCCAGACGGGGCGATGGGGCAGAGGCGCTCCCCACATCTCAGACGATGGGCGGCCGGGCAGAGACACTCTTCACTTCCTAGATGGGATGGCGGCCGGGAAGAGGCGCTCCTCACTTCCTAGGTGGGATGGCAGCCGGGCAGAGATGCTCCTCACTTTCCAGACTGGGCAGCCAGGCAGAGGGGCTCCTCACATCCCAGACGATGGGCGGCCAGGCAGAGACGCTCCTCACTTCCCAGACGGGGTGGAGGCCGGGCAGAGGCTGCAATCTCCGCACTTTGGGGGGCCAAGGCAGGCGGCTGGGAAGTGGAGGTTGTAGCGAGCCGAGATCACGCCACTGCACTCCAGCCTGGGCACCATTGAGCACTGAGTGAACGAGACTCCATCTGCAATCCCGGCACCTCGGGAGGCCGAGGCTGGCGGATCACTCGCGGTTAGGAGCTGGAGACCAGCCCGGCCAACACAGCGAAACCCCGTCTCCACCAAAAAAATACGAAAACCAGTCAGGCGTGGCGGCGCGCGCCTGCAATCGCAGGCACTCGGCAGGCTGAGGCGGGAGAATCAGGCAGGGAGGTTGCAGTGAGCCGAGATGGCAGCAGCACAGTCCAGCTTCGGCTCGGCATCAGAGGGAGACCTTGGAAAGAGAGGGACAGGGAGAGGGCGAGGGCGAGGGCGAGGGAGAGGGAGAGGGAGAGGGAGAGGGAGAGGGAGCCTAATTTGATCTTAAGGTCTCTCTGGAGAGTGACCATAAGCCAGATATCTACCCTCTAAGAGAGCACTGATGGGGTAGAGAGTTACGGTCGGTGGGTCTGTTAGGTAAGACACAATGAGGGAGTGAAACCAAAATGCATATAATGGAAGAAATGTATTATTCTCAAGTCTAAGAGAGGTTAGGGGTACAAATAGGGGCTGGTGGGAAATCTGGAGGTGAGAGAAACTTAACCAGCAGGTGAACAGAGGGAGAGAGAAAGAGAGAAAGAGAAAGGGGAAAAGACAGAGAGAGAGAGAGAGAACCTGCAGGGCTACGCCTTTATTAAGGTTCTTATATATTATTTCTTAGGTTTTCCAATGGGGTTATGGATTGGCCAATTTAAGGAAAACACATTCTAGGATAATTTGTTTGCATGACTCTGGTATTGACCATTAGGTTTTACCATTGTCAGCAGCTGTGGAATGTGTTGGGTTTTGGATCAGTGAGATGATAAATTAAGAAAGGCATATCTTTTTTTTTTTTTTTTTTTTTTTTGAGATAGAGTCTTGCTCTGTCTCCCTGGCTGGAGTGCAGTGGTGTGATCTCAGCTCACTGCAACCTCCACCTCCCAGGTTCAAGCAACTCTCCTGCCTCAGCCTCCCGAGTAGCTAGGACTACAGGTGCGCGCCAGCATGCCCAGCTAATTTTTTGTTTTTTTGTGTGTTTTTAGTAGAGATGGGGTTTCACCATGTTAGCCAGGATGGTCTCAATCTCCTGACCTCGGCCTTGGGTGAGATTATAGGCGTGAGCCACCACGCTCGGCCCAGGAAGGCGTATCTTAAACAACCACATTGGGAGGGTAAGTTTTAACTAGGCCAAAGGTGATGTGGTACAACTAAGTTTCAAGCAACTTATGTCAGGTCTATAAATTGATGCCAAGGCAGCAACTATATTAAATAAATTTATGACAACAATAAACTAGGAGGCTTGCAAACAACAGAAATTTATTTCTCACAGTTCTGGTGGCTGGAAAGTCCAAGATCATGGTACCAGCAGATCTGTGTCTGGTAAGGGCTCAATTACTGGTTGATCGATGGTGCCTTCTCTCTGCACCCTCCAATGGTAAAAGGGGCAAGGCAGCTCACTATGTTCTCTTTCAGGAGGGCAATAATCTAATTTATTAGGGCTCTGCTCTAATGACCCAATCACCACCCAGTGGCTTCACCTCTTAATACCAACACATTGGTGAGTAGGTTTCAACATACGAATCTTGGTAGCCACAGACATCAATCTTTAGAAGAAGGTTGAGTCTGCAGTGAACCATAATAGCACCACTGTGCACCAGCCTAGAAGACATAGTGAGACCCTATCTCAAAACAAACAAAGAAACAAACAACACATTACATTTTAAAAATTTATTAGTTTAACAAATATCAAGTGTCAACTATATGTCAGATACTGGTAATGATTATGGAGAAAAAACATAAATAATCCTTATTTTATTCACCTCTTTACAATCCCAAAAGAAAAATACTGTTATCCCCAGGTTTGCACAAAGGAAAAAAATAAGAGGCTCAGGCATATTAAGAATTTATTTTAAATCACATAGCAATTGAGAGATCTCGGATTCAAATCCAAAATGTTTTGTCAAACACCAAAACCAATGTTCCTCCTTGTCTACCTGTAAAGCATAGAGTTTTACTACTCTAGAAGTTTAAATTAATTTTGCTGATTTTATAAGCAAAGTTAAAGTCTTATTTTTACTTTAGTTTTTGGATATCACAAAGTTAAAAATATTTTTCCTGTTTGTTTACTAATTATACTTCTTCATGAGACTATTGTCTGCTTATGTACTTTAGTAATTTGTTACTACTGTGATTTTGATAACTTTCATACTAACTTGTTTAATATATAGATCAAGATATAGACATAAATATTAGTTTTTTGTAATGTTCGATTAAAGTAAATGTACATTTTTATTGTTTTACACGTTGGTGATAAGAGTTAAAATTCAGAATAATTTAACATATTAGGCTGGGTGTGGTGGCTCATACCTGTAATCCTGGCACTTTGGGAGGCTGAGACAGGAGCATTGCTTGAGTCCAGAGGTTTGAGACCAACCCAAGCAACATAATAAGACATGATTTATATATACATAAATTTTTTTAATTAGCTGGGCATGGTGGTGCATGCCTGTAGTCATAGCTACTCAGGCGGCTGAGAAGGGAGGATCATTTGAGCCCAGGAGGTTGAGGCTGCAGTGAACTGTAATCATGCCACTGCACTCCAGCCTGGATGGCAGAGTAACACCCTGTCTGAAAGAAAATTAACACATTACATTTTTCTTTATATTCATTGATGTGAACAAATAGAGGGCATAAAAAATAGGAAAAATGACAAACTTTTCCTATTTGACTGTGTAACTATATTTATCAATTCATATAATGAGTTATAGGGCCTATTAATGCAGAAATCTTTATCAGTAATTGTTTGAAATGCAAACTAGTTTGTTATTAAAGAACATTTTAATTTGAAATAAATGTTTTGCATGGGACATTTTAGCTTTTCTAATTCCAACATTCAGAAACCATAATCCTTGCCCATATTTTCTGTTAATATTTTGCTTTTGTTATCACTAGTTGAATGTGCAGTTTCCCTAATAAATGTTGTTATATGACTCTGGGCTTCTTTTATCATTATCAGTTAGTTTTACCACTAGAATTTAGTCAATGGAGCTGTATTTACTTTTCTCAGTGAGTCATGTTTCCTTTATACACTTATTAACATGCTTTATATCATCACTTTCATTCTCATTCATGTCTCTTATTAATTGCCTGAAGGTCTTTTGATGACGAATAGAAACCTGTCATTGAAAAAAAATTCCAGAAATTAGCTTAACATTAGTTTCCAATCTACATAAAGGATATTAAGTACAAATGAACAAAATCTTATATAATGCTGCATTAATGATGAAAAACAATGTTAATGACTTCTGATATGATGACATAGATATGGTAATTTAAAGGCTATTTTTTTCTATTATTGCTGTGGCTACTAGCTGCTATTTACTGAACCCTTACTCAGTACTATACAGTGATGACTACTTTACCTTTATTTTGTCATTTAGAGTTCACAACTCTCTTATATAGATATAATTATTAAAATGGGAATTTTTACAGATTATGAAAGGGTTGGCCAGGCATGGTAGCTCACGCCTATAATCCCAACATTTTGGGAGGCTGAGGCGGGTAGATCACTTGAGCTCAGGAATTCAGGACCAGCCTGGGCATCATGACGAAATCTCATCACTTCCAAAAATACAAAAAATTAGCCAGGTGTGGTAGTGTGTGCCTGTGCTCCTAGCTACTTAGGAGGCTAGGTGAGAGGATTGCTTGGGTTGGAAGTTACAGTGAGCCAGGATCAGCCACTGCACCCCAGCCTGAGTGACAGGGTGAAACCCCAGCTCAAAAAAAAAGGGGAGAGGGTGGTTAACTATTTGATGCAGGTCATATAGTTAGTGAGTAGATACAGTGTGAATTTGAATTCAGTTTCACATTTATTTGAGCACAAAATGTTTAGTTTAAAAACATCCCTTTACAACTGCTGGGGCAGTTGTACTCCCTAGAACACAGTCTAAAAGTGTCACCTTAGGTGTTTCAGACTTAATCAGACTTGAGTTTGAGTCATTCAGATAAGGCTCATGAGACAAATATAAAGAAATTAAAATGCCATTTTTAATAGTGTATACTGATAAGTATAAATGCTAAAATATTCAGACACTTCAAGTCCTCCAACCAGTGCATTCTCTCTCTGTAAGCAAATTATAGAAAAAGTAACATTATGAACAGGGAATTTCTGCAGGCTGAAAGAAGAATCACAACAGAAATATTGTTTATTTGAGATGAATGTTTAAAAGCATCAGAACATAACATTTTTTCCCACAAAAGACAAATATCAGGCACTAGACTAGACATCTCAAGTCCTTGGCACAGGGATTCCTTCCCTTTGGATAGTTCTTGGAGGTGAATGGCTAAGGTCTTACTCTGACCATTTCTGTATAATTCTGTCACTTACAACCAAATTTCCTTTTATTGATACTCTATTTATTTAAACTTGTTAAACTTTCAATATATTGTAAAAGGCATAAGACAGATTTGTCTCTTTATTATTTTGTATATTTCCATTTTATGTCTATTTCCACCTCAGAGTGAGGTAGTAGCCTGAGATGATCCACATGGCTAACCCAACTATCAGATGCTACCTACAGCATAAGAAGTATTCATAAGCTTTGTGTGTTATAATGAATAAAAAAGTGAATTAATGGGCTTCTTTTTTTAATGCTCTGAAAATTCCTTCTTTTTTTATATGTGGAGGAAAAATCAAATGTAAATGTATTATTTGTAAAATTCTTTCTCTATAACTTTCCTTATCAATGTCATATAAAATCCTGATACCCAAGACCTGCCTACTACTTTCTTTGCATAGGACAATTTTATTTTGGTTTTGCTCCTTGAATAATAGAATAATTATTTGTTTTAATATGGAGAGGTCTCTGATTTCAATAAGACAATGTTTAGGATATATTTTTTGGCTTTATCTCCTAGTCAAAGTAAATATTTTGGCCTTATCTTTTGGTCAGAGCTATAATACAGAACTTACAGTTGCTAAACTTTGGCAGAGCAAAATCTCTTACTCATGTTTACCCACCCTGTCATAAATTTCAATGCTTTAAATTTCCCGGCTTATTGTACCCATTCATTTTACAAATCCTCCTACCACCACCAGTACCCACATCATCAATTAATAGCTTTTACCATCATTTGCAACCAGAGAACATTATCAAGAGTAAGAAAGACAGGCGGTGAAAATATTTATTTGGCTTTGATGCTGATTTTGTTTCTTTTAACTAGGTAGGTGGGAGTAAACCAAAGAGGTGGGTAGAAACACATGTGTCTCTAGGATAGCAGGGACATATGTTTATACCCTAAAGTGAATTTTCTTAGTTTAGCCATGCTGATAACTCCTATGCAGACACTTAGTTGTGATTTTGTTGGTTGGGAAAAAAAAAAAAGAAATTTATCAGGGAAAAGTCAGAACTGTGAGTTAGCAGGTTTTGACCTTTGGCTGCCTGGAAAAGAAGAGAAGAGAATATAAAGGGAATCAAAAGGGGAAATAGGAGAGGCACTCAGAAAGAGAAGATGGACACTAACAAAATAAACTTGGCAATTTAGCTAACTTGTAAAATTAATAGCTCTTGCACTATGGAAAACGCTTGAGAGCTTTTCAGAAGAGGTATGAAAATCAGCTAGTCTTGGTTCTTACCAAGGCCTCTTTCTCCAAGTTAGTCCAGATCATTTATTCTAATTTTTCCTGGTATCTTGCCAACCAGTTTTCATTCATGCCCTGTGAAGAGAAGCAGAAAGGAAAGGAAAGAAAAGAAGCACAGAGAAGAGAAAGAGATAGACTTGTGTTCCTACAACTGATTTCCTCCTTTTAAGGAGTCAGCAAGATATAATTTCCTGGGATTTCCCTATTAATAGAACACATTCCTCACGAATGTCCTACAGTTTTAATGATACTTCCACCACTGTCACTGATCACCTGGGTTTCCCATTTCACTGGACTTTTGAGCACCCACCCTCACCAAGCTTATTTGGCTTGTTCTTCCTTTCGCAGGAGTACCATTGCTATACCACATTCTCACTTGATCCCCTTTGGATGAAATGAAAGAAACAGCTGGTTTGACTGGTAAGTTTACTAAGGCAGGACAGTAGCAGTACTTTATAAATTTTAAAATGGCTATGAAACTGTTTCTGCTTATTTCATTTTGGTTAACTGAATAACTTTTATATTTTAGTATTCTACAATTTGTTCATTATTATGCATAAGTGTGTATACAAAATAATAGACAAATTATGGAGCAGGAAAATATAAAACTGTGTACTTTATGTGTTTGGCTGGCTGGCTGTGAAATTACTTTCTTTATGATTTCCGCCCTCCACCATTACTTTTTCAACCTAATCAAGGTAAGGCCATTAAAATATTCAAGCTCATTATTCAACTGTTTTTAGCTTTACAGATACTAATAATATTAACTCAGAAAATATAATCAAAACTAAGCAAACTTTTGTCAATTATATTCTAAACTAAAAAAATTAAACTTGCTGCTAATATATAACTTGTTAGGAGGTGATATCATATTGAGATCCAGATTTTCTAATAGAAAAAGATTACATTAAGATATGGATTCAAGTAAAGGTTAAAACTTTTTAATCAAAATCCTTAATATACTTACCCTCTCAATTTCTTCACACATCTTTTCAATAGTGCTATCTGGTGTTTTTAACTGAGTGGGCTGGAAATTTTACTAGTAAAGATTTTGTGTTCCTTGATACAAACTATTGTTGAGTGTCCTTGAAGGTTTTGAGACCAGCTAGTATTTTGATTCAGAAATCACAATATAAACTTAGAAGTCTTGGAAATAATGAAGTCCTGCAAATTAACACCAAATTTAACAACCACCTAAATATTTAATCAACATTCAAGCTAAAATTTCTGCAAAACAAAATGATGAGCGTTCTTAATATTAAATGATAAAAGCACAATCTTACTTTTCCTCAGGAGAATGAGTTTGACATTATATAAAAGGCTAAAGAAGTTAGATACGAATTGAAATCATTTGCTATGAAATCTGATAAGGTTGTTTTTTTCCCTCTGACATAATTGTCTTCTTTTTCATTTATCCTGATATCATATTTACCATTCTTTTGGAATGTGTTTTGTTAGGGAGAGGAGGGCCCAGAAAGACTAAGAAATCATGTTTGAGTGACATTAGCAAGATAATGAAATAGGAAGTCTCATTCTCCACCCCCCTCCTCTAGAAAGTTAAACTAGCAACTGTCCACAGACCAGAGTATCATTTTTTAAAATCCCAAGACTTGAAAACAAGCTGGAAACAACCATGTGGTCCAAAGAACTAAATAAGAAGCAAATTATTAGTGTAAGTATAGTAATGCTTCAACCACGCTATCCCTGCCCCACCCCCTGCAAGTTGGCATAGTGCTACACAGAGAGGATTTCCCCAGGGTCCACAGTTTCTACAGAGGGACTAGAGAACTGAAGGTGGTCAGTCATCCAGCTTCCCTAGCATTCCGAGATGCTTCCTCTGGTCTTACCTCAGGGGGAACACTGAGACTAATAGCACAGCTGTACTACCTAGGATCCAGTAAAAACAAAGAAAGAAGACAGAGCTCTCAGTGACCAGTGTGCAGATTTTGGTGGTTCCTCTATGTTCCTGCAAGCTGTGGTACCCAGTGAGAGATACCAGTCAACTGCGTAGGTCACCTGCAAAACTGAGCTGGTTGCCTTCAGAAGCACAGTGGGAGGTTCAACCTGGCTTGATTTCCTAGACAACATACCAACCTTCAGAGCCCACCCCAATGACACAGCCAAGACAGGGAGACACTCAACTCCATGCATTTCAGAAATATGTAAAGACTAGACCTGCTTGACCCAGGAGGTCAAACAGCAGCTCCACTCAGCAAAAAGCCTGCCCCATGGTTGTTTCCAGACAGGGAGGCCATCCTCAACCATGCATTTCTAAGGAGCATAGCCTTTGGTTCCACCCATCCCAAACAGTGACTCTTCCTAACCTCAGAACCTAGACTATAGATCTGCCCAACTAAAGATTTTAAATAACAGAGTCACACAGCCAGGGAATATATTTCGTGACTGACCTGACCAGAGGCCAGTGGCCAGACAGCAGAGCCCAGCAAATGGCTACACTTAGTGTCGGAACAAAGGCAGCAATCTAACCAACTAGAGAACCCTCAATAATCCCTGCCTTCCTGAAATCACCACCAGTTGCCCCTTATAGAATCACAGTTGTGACTAAATAGTGAAGAGCTATCCCTGCCAAAGAACACCTATAAAGGCCAGAAAAGATGGCTGTCTCTTCAAATATGCAGACAATAACACAAAAAGACAAGAATCAGGGGATCATAGCTCCTCCCACAGAAACTAATAAAGCTCCAATAATGGACTCTAAAGAAATAGAGACCTATAAAATTACTGATAAAGAATTCAGAATAATCCTTTTAATGTTCAGTGAAATATAAGAATATATGGATAGAAAATAAAATTTGGAAAATAATACATGAATAATGCAAGAAGTTTGACAAAGAAATAAAAAACATTTAAGTAGAAATCCTAAAGACAAATACAATGACTGAACCGAAAAAATTCAGTACAAGTCTTCAACATTAGACTGATAAGGCAGACAAAAAAATCAATTAGCTAGAGGCAGAACATTTAAACTTTTCCAGTCAGAAGAGAAAAAGACAAAGGAAATTAAAAGAAGAAAGAAAGCTGACAGAAATTATGAGGCACCATCAAGAGATCACATCTTCACAAAACAGCAGTTAAAGAAGGAGAGAAAAAAGTAAAAAAGGCTATAAAGAATATTATAAGAAATAATGACTGAAAGCTTCCCTAATCTGGGAAAAGATGCCTACATCAGGTACAGGAAATGCAGATGTCTCCAATCGAATTCAACCCAAAGAGGAGTTCAATAAGATATATAATAATCAAACTATCAAATTCTAAGACAAAGAAAAATTTCTGAGAGCAACAAGAGATAAGAAACACATTGTATTCAAATAAGTCACAATATGACTACCAGCAGATTTTGGGCAAAAGACAGAAGGATGATATATTCAAAGTGCTGGTGAAAAAGAACTGCTAACTAATATTTTCCCAGCTAACCTGTCTTTCAGAAATGAAGGAAAAATAAAAGTTTCTCAGACAAAATTTAAGAGAGTTTATTACCACTTCCTGTATTACAAGAAGTGTGAAAGAGAGCACTTTAAGCTGAAACAAAACATTACTAACTAATAGCATAAAACACACAAAAGCATAAAACTCAATGGCATAAGTAATACAGAGCCATATTCAGAATATTTCAGGACTTTAACGATTGTGTGTAACTCAATTTTATTACTAGTTCCAGGGTTAAAAGACAAAACTATTAAGAAAAACAATACCTACAATAAATTGTAAAAAGGTGCTCATTACAAAATGATGTAAATTCTGAAATCAAAAACATAAAATGGGGGGAAATATAAGTGTACAGTGTTGTAGGCAATTCAAGTTACCAGCTTGAAATAGACTGTGTGTTATAAGAGGTCTGAAGTAAGCCTCATGTAACAGCAGAACAAAAATCTTCAATAGAAGCACAAAACAAATTTAAAGAAAGGGTTCAAAGCATACTGTAACAAAAAACCATCAAACCAAAAAAAAGACAAGAGAGAGAAAAAAACGTATCTACAAAACTACCTAGAAAACAGTTAACGACATGGCAATAATAAGTCTTAGCAATCAATAATTAATTTGAATGTAAATGGTTTAAATTCTTCAGTAAAGACATAGAATGAGTGAATGGATTAAAAAATAAGACCCACTACTTGCTACCTACAAGAAACATCAAGAGACTCACCTTACTTTTAAGGATGCATATAGACTGAAAGTGAAGAGATGACAAAAGATACTCTATGCAAATTGAAACAAAAAAAGAACAGAGGTAGCTATACTTACATCAGACAAAACAGACTTTATGTCAGAAATGTAAAAAGAGGCAAATAAGAACATTATATTATGACAAAGAAATTGACTCATCAAAAGGATATAATACTTGTAAATACATACGTGTTTGTGTATGTGTATATATACACATACTCAATATCCAACACCTAAATATATAAAACAAATAGTAATATATCTGAAGGGAGAGATAGATTATAATACAATAATAGTAGAGGACTTCAATACCTCACTTTTAACAATGGACAAATCATTCAGTCAGCAAATAAAGAAGGAAACATTGGATTTGAACAGCACTTGGACCAAATGAACCTAACGGACATATACGGAACATTCCATCCAACAGCAAGAGAATACACATTCTTCTCAAACACATATGGAACATTCTCTAGGACAGATTATATATTAGGTCACAAACAAGACTTAGCAAATGTAAGACTGAAATCATATCAAGTATCTTTTCCAACTACAATTGCATAAAACTAGAAATCTTTTTTTTCCTTTTGAGACAGATTCTTGCTCTGTCGCCCAGGCTGGAGTGCAGTGGTGGAATCATGGCTCACTGCAACCTCTGCCTCCCAGGTTCAAGCGATTCTCTCACCTCAGCTGCCCAAGTAGCTGGGATTACAGGCACCCGCCACCACGCCCAGCTAATCTTTGTATCTTTAGTAGAGACTGGGTTTCACCATGTTGGCCAGGCTGGTCTTGAACTCCTGACCTCAGGTGATCCACCTGCCTTGGCCTCCCAAAGTGATGAGATTACAGGGGTTAGCCACCACGCCCGGCCCAAAACTAAAAATCAATGACACACACAAAAATTGGAAATTCACAAATATGTGGAAATGAAACAATTCTCCTGAACAACCGATGGGTCAATGAAGAAATTAATAGATACATTTAAAATATCTGGAGACAAATGAAAATGGAAACACAACATATCAAAACTTGTGGGGTACAACAAAAGCAGTTCTAAGAGTAAAGTTGTTTAATAAATGCCCACATAAAAAATGAAAGATCTCAAATAAACAACTTAATGTTATTGTTCAAGGAACTAGAAAAAGAGCAAACTAAGCCCAAAGTTAGGAGGAGGAAAGGAAATAATAAAGATCAGAGCAGAAATAAATGAATCCAAGACAGAAAAACCATATGAGATCAATGAAACTAAGAACTGATTTTCTGAAAAGATAAACAAAATTGACAAACCTTTAGCCAGAGTAATGAGAAAAAAATAGAGAAGACTCAAGCAAAATCAGAAATGAGAGAGAAGATATTGCAAATGATACCACAGAAATACAAAGAATCATACGATACTATTATGAACAATTATATGTCAACAAATTCAGGAAACTAAAAGAAATGAATAAATTCCTAGACACAACCTACCAACACTGAATCATGATGAAACAGAAAATGTGAACAGACCAAAAGGTAGTAAGGAGATTTAATCATAAGTTAAAACTCTCTTATCAAAAAAAAAGTCCAGGATCTTATGTCATCACTACTGAATTCTACCAAACATTTAATGAATAAATAATACCAATCCCCTTTAAATTTTTCCAAAAACACCAAGGAATGAATACTTTTAAACTGGTATCAGGAGGCTTACATTATCCTGCTATCAAAGCCAGATGGGGATATTACAAGCAAAGAAAACTACAGGCTAATATCCTTGAAAAATTGAAAGGCTTTCCTCTAAGATGTGGAGGAAAACATAGATGCCCACTCTTGCCATTTCTATTCAACAGAATATTAAAAGTCTTCCAGAGCAATTAAGCAAGAGAAAGAAGCAAAAGGCATCCAAACAGGAATGGAAGAAACAAAATTGTCACTTTTTGCTGACATAATTTTATATACAGAAAACACTAAAGATTTTACTACAAAACACTTACAAACTAATAATACACTAACAAACAAATACAGTAAAGTTGAAAGATACAAAATCAACACACAAAAATCAGTAGCATTTCTATACACTAACAATGAACTGTCTGAAAAAAAAATCAGGGGACTAATTCCATTTATACTAGCTGCAAAAAATAAAATACTTAAGAATAAATTTAACCATGGTGGTGAAAGACTTCCACACTGAAAACTGTGACATTGAGGAAAGAAATTGAAGAGACACAAATAAATGGAAAGGTATCTCATGTTCATGAGTTGAATGAATTAATATTGTTAAAATGTCTATACTAACCAAAATGATTTATAGACTCAGTGCAATCCCTATCAAAATTCCAATGTCATTTTTCATAGAAATAGAACAAATGAGACTAAAATTCATATGGTACAATAACAACAAAAAACATTCAAATAGCCAAGGCAATCATAAGCAAACAGAAAAAAGCTGGTAGCATCATGCTACCTACTTTTAATCTATATTACAAATCAACAGTATATTAAGCAGTAAATAAAACAGCATGGTACTGGCATAAAACAGATATATTAACAGATAGAACAGCATAGAGAGCCCAGAAATGAACTATACATGTATGGTCAATTGATTTTCCACAAAAGTGTCAAGAATACACAATGGGAAAAGGATAGTCCTTTCAATAAAGGGTGCTGGGAAAACTGGACATCCACATACAGAAGAATGAAATTGGAAGCTTATTGCATACCAAATACTAAAATAAACTCAAAATGGATTAAAGACTTAAATATAAGACTGGAAACTATAAAACTACTAGAAGAAAACACAAGGGTGAAACTATACAACATTTTTCTGGATAATAATTTTTTTGAATTTGATCCCAACAGTTCAGGCAACAGCAGCCAAAATAGACAAATGGGATAACATCGAACTAAAAAGCTTCTTCACAGAAAAGGAAACAATGAAGAGTGTGAAGAGAGATACCTATGATTTGGGAGAAAATATGTGCAAGCTATATATCTGTTAAGGGGTTAATGTTCAAAATATATAAGGAACTCAAATAACTTAATTGCAACAAAACAAATAACCCAATTAAAAAATTGGCAAAGGACCCATGTAGGCATTTCTCAAAAGAAAACATACAAATGGCCAGCAGTTATATGAAAAAGAATGTTCAATATTGCTAATGATTAGGGAAATGCAAATTAGACACACAATGAAATTTCACCTCTCACCTTTCGGAATGGCTGGTATCAAAAATGTGAAAGGTAACAAGTGTTGGAGAAGATTTGAAGAATAGTGAACCCTTTTACACTGTTGGTGGGAATGTAAACTAGTACAACCATTATGTAAAACTAGTAAGTTCCAAAAAATATAATTACCATATGATCCAGCACTCTCACTTCTGGATATTTACCCAGAAGATTTGAAATTGGTTTGTCAAAGAGACGTCTCCACTGCTACATTTATTGCAGTATTATTTACAATAGCCAAGATATGGAATCTACATAGGTGTTAATCAATGGATGAATTGATAAAGAAAATGTATATAGACACAATGAAACACTATTCAGCCTTACGAAAAAGAAAACCCTGTCATTTGTGACAAAAGGAATGGAATTAGAGAACATTATGCTAAGTGAAAAAGCCAGGCACAGGAAGACAAATACCACATATTCTCTCTTATAGTGGAATCTAAAGTGAATTCATAGAAGCAGAGAGTAGAATGGTGACTTCAGAGGCTGGACGAATGCAGAGGTGAGTCAAAGGGTACAAAGTCTCAGGCAGACCAAAGGAATTAGGTTTTGTTGGAGATCTATTGCACAGTGTGGTGAATATAATTAATTATAGTATTATATATTTATTTCAAAATTGCTGACAGTAAATTTCAAATGTCCTCACCACAAAAAATTATAATAAGTATTTGAGGTGATTAATATGTTAATTAGCTTGATTTAGGTATTCTACATTGTTTTCATCAATCGTAACATGACTTTGTTTCCTATTTCCAGTAAACTACCTTAGTATGGCACAGAAGTTTTCAATTTCATTTTGAGAAATAGTATTCATAATTTTTCAACTTGATCTCTGTACTCAGAAAGCCTGTTGGCTTTTGTTCGTTTTTGGTTTTGCATGTTAACACACAACCCTCATTTACTAGAAAATAATAAATAATGAAAGGAAAGGCAGATGTTGAAAAAATTAAACCTGGAAAGCATGGAGCTCCAAAGCTGTTGACTAAGCTAGACTTATGGCTGCCATAGAGTATAAGCAACAGAAAGTCAGATGCGGGAGTAGGGTATGGATGAGTTCAAGATTACAGTTTAAACTGAGGAATAAGGGAGCCTAGTTAGAATATTACTGGCAGTAAATTCATAGAAAGGGAAGTTGTTTTAAAGCATGGAGGAGGGAAGTATGAGAATTGGAAAGGAATAAGATAAGCTTGTCAGAAGAGGAGGAGGACTGATTTTAAACCATATGGGCAAAAAGAAAAACTGTGTTGGTGGTGTGATGTGCCTTGCTACCCAATCTGTGATCTATGGAATTGCAACATTAGCCTGACCTGGGAGTTCATTAAAAATACAGAATTTCAGGCCACACCACAGATCACCTGAATCCAGAGTCTGCATTTAACAATAACCCCACGTGAATTGTTGATTTGTGTACATCAATATATGAAAAACACTCTTAAAGTGGAATCTTCTATCCACTGTTTTGTTGATTTTTTTTAATCTCTAAAAGGAGATTAATAGTAATGATTTCACAGAATATGGGGACAATTAAACTGTATACTAATGGTATGGTGTGTGATAAATGCTTCATAAATGTTTATGTACTCCAGTTTGCTGAAAGTCTCTCTCCAGTAATTTTTGTTTGTAGCTAGAGAAAAAATAATAAGGGGAGGAAATTTTAATGAAATAAAGGGAAGAAATTTCAGCAGAGGCAGATTTGATAATTAAGCTCCACACGTGAACTAAGAATAACCAGAAAATGTAGTTTAACACAACAAACATAAGTTTGAAAGCACTGGAGAGCTAACAAAGACAATTTTGAACTGTGGAAATAAGATTTGTAAGGAAAAGGAAGTAAATGGGGAAAAGTGAGCCCGGCAGTGAAGCCCATTATCCCTGAGGGAATATGCAGATTACAGAAGAGGAAACTGATAGTGGGAGAAGACAAACAAAGAAAACAGCCTCAGTAGACCAAGGGGACAAAAATTGGCATGCACAGTCTGACAATGGGAAAATAGTGCTGATAAATTCACAAGTTTGGTAAAGTTAAGCCCCAGGAGTAAGGATAAAGCAAAAGTAAATATGATCTTTCATTAAATCCAGCTTCTAATCATTTCAGTTCCAGAACTGGATTAAAGTGGTCTGAGATTGATTCTACCTTCTTTATTACAAAATAAAAAATAAACCATTATAAAACATTTCTGGAGGCAGTTAACAGCATCTTACAACTCATAATATTTCTATAATGTTTCCTATCTGGTATTACACATATAATAATAAGGCAGAAGGCAAAGGTGTGTTCCAAACAAATATATACAACAAACACTAGGAAAATAACCCACAGAGAATCCAGATAATAAAGTTAGCATATAAATACTTTATGATTAGTATGTTCATGGATATATAATGTAAGGTGGAGAATTTTGGCAAAGAGAATTATAAAAGAAAGAGCTAAACAAAAATTCTAAATCCCAAAAATACAATAGCTAAAATTAAGAACTCAGTAGTTGGGTTAATAGTAGATTAGATACAACTGAAAAGAAAGTCAAGGACCTTATAGCATAGAAGGCATAGCAGCAGCATAGCACTGAAAATGAAGCAGAGAGCTCCAAAAGTTTGGGAAATAGAGAAAAGAAGGTAAGATAAATATGGGATACATTGAGAATTCTAACATATGCCTAACTGGAGTTCCAAAAGAAGCAGAGATTCTAGATAGAAACAATGTTTGCAGAGATGAAAATTGCCAGTAACCCTGCATAACATCTATTGGATAGATGAATAACATCTATTGGAGATTATAAATACACAATGAGGAAATAACAGTTTTCTTTTAAAAAATAAAAGGTGGAAAAAAGAAATAAAATAATCATTATTTGCAAACACTATGATTGAAAACTTAGAACATCTACAATATGTACATATAAATTGTTAAATTAATAAGCAGTTTGGCAAGATTGAAGATTGCTAGATACAATGTCAATGGATGTACGAAAATCAACTTTCTACATTCCAAAAACAGAAAATGATTTTTAAAATTAACAATACTATAAAAAAATTAGGTACCTAAGAACAAATTGAAAACAATATGTGTGAAAATGCTTCTAAAATAATAAAATGTTCTTCGGATAAATTTTTTTTTAATTAATTTAATTGAAGTATATACTCTCTTCACAGCCTGGAAGATGCAAAATTTAAAGTCAGCAATTCTCTCTAAATTAACCTAGAAATTTCATGCAATCTTAAAAACTCCAATAAGTATTTTAAAAATTGGCATATGATTATAAAATTTGTATGGAAGTCAAAAATTCTAATAATAAAAATCTTCTAAAAGAACATGGTGAAATAATCTAATGAATACAACTCTAATTTGTAAAGGTATATAATTAATACAATAGAATACTGGTACAAGAACAAACAAAAGAACACTGGAATATAATTGAAAATCTAGAAGTTAACCCAATTATACGTACATACTTCATTCACATCAAAGGTAGCACTGAAGAAAGTGGTGCTGAAATAATTCAAATTTTCCTTCTACTTTACACCATATATAAAAGTCTGTTGCAGGTGTATTGTAGATCTAAATGTGAAAGGGAAAATAATAAAGCCTTAAAATATCAAAATAATAATAATATTAAAAGTTGATTAACCTTATTAGTATTCAGGAAATTTTTTTTTTTTTTTTTAAAAAAACATGATTAGATATGACTAAACACCCATCAAACTGGCTACAATTAAAAGACTAATGATACCTAATGGTGGCATGGGTATTAAGAAACAGGAATGTTTATACACTGCTGGTGGTATTATAAATACCACTTTGGTGTGTACAACTAAAGTATACAGCCACTTTGGAAAACTGAGTATCAGTATCTATTAAGGCTGTATGCTTATTCTATAAACCCACTATTCTACTTACAGATATATATTAAAAATATATACATGAACATATGCACCAAATGACATATGTAAAATTTATTTATGTATCAGTCTTTCTTGTATAAACAAAAACCAGAAACAATCCAAAAGTCCATCAATAGAAAAATGTAAAAATAAATCATGTTGTATTCATATGATGGTAACAGAATTTAAGATTTAAAAAAAATAGATGGATCTCATGGATATACTATGAAGTAAAAAAGCTAAATACAAAAGAAAAAAGCTGGATACAAAAGAACACATACTATATGACTTTATAAAATATTCCAAAACAAGAAAACAAAACTGTGGTGTTCGAAGTCTGCATATTAGTTACTTTTCATGGGGAAGGTAGAGGTGATAATTGGAAAGGGTCTAATGGTTTCAGTGTTCTTGTGATATTCTGCTTCTTGATCAGGGTGATGGCTACAAATATGTTCTCTTTGTGGTAATTTATTGAGTTATATGTGTAGTTTTGTGCACTTTTGTGTGTGTATCATATTTTACTTAAAATGTCAAAAGTAAAAAAAAAAGAAGAAAACAAATTGATTCCAAAGGAATTTATGCCAATTTTTGTAAATTATGGTAAAATGAAATGGAAAATAGTAGTAAAATAAACATGGATGGGATATAAAGAAATAGAATTCCCATTACTTGCAGTTTTTATGATTTTCTACATAGAAACCTAAAATAATACATGTGAAAATTACTAGAGATGAGAACATTCAACAAAGTTGCTAATGAAATTAAAATTCTGTTTAAATCTTTTATCTGTGACTCTAATGACATGTTACAGTATGCCTACTAGGTAACAAGTTTATAATGCATTCTTCTTAATATCGGGGCCTTGACTTTTGCATTTGTTTTTGGTTTCATTTTGTTTTGACTGATTTATGTCAGCTGACATCAGTGTAGAATACATAATATGCACTCAAATATATATTGAAGGAATAAACCCTATTATCAACCAAAGCAAATGATACCTTTTCTCATTTTCATACCAGGATAATATGTATACAGCCACAAATGGTCATATCAAGTTACTAAAGATCTCAGATAGGTTGTTAGGACACGACATTGATTCTTACTATCTGAGACTGAAGGGCCCTTCGTTAAGGGCCTGTTTTCACACAATTCTGAATCTCACTCAATAGAATCTTGATCATTTTGAAGTATCTTGAATAGACTGGCATCCAAGTTGAGGTCTTACTCATAACTATTTCCTTGGCAGGGTGAAACAAAGTGTATTAAGAGCCAACAGTGGAGTACAGTGGTGCACTCTACATTGTATAGAACTTGCATTAAGATTGACAGACCACTTCTGAAAACATTTTTTATTCTATCTACAATATTGTTTGTCTGCAACATTATTCCTATAACATCCAGACATCTTCATGAGGTATCGATTGTATTCGTTTAGCATCCCTGGGCATACCAAATTTGCAGATAACTCAGTTGCCTTTATGCAAATTCTAGGTAGCTAGTTATTTTTACTAGGTAAGGAATAATTTCTTGTCTTCTGCAGTAACCACTCAGTTATAATGATATTCTCAAGCCCTCTCTTTCCTTCTATCATTACATACAGCCAAAAGGACTCTGACTATAGAAGCAAGGGTAAGAAACCCAACATGGTAGGTCAGAAGAATCTACTTTCCCCTACACAAAAATATTTATTTTACTTTCTAGCTTTTATAATATTTGGAAAGTTATATTTCACAAAAGAAAGGGCTGGTATAATCTCATTTCCACTGATCACAGGTCAATAAATTTTATTACAACAATAAATTTGAAAGTGACCTCTTTTGGTGCATCCTCATTGACAGAACACAGAGGACTGATTGTGTAGCAAATGACATGGCATCTCCTGTTGTAAACTGATCATTTGACTTCTCTCTTTTGCCAGTTAGCTACAATAAAAGCAAATTGACTTTGAAGCCTGGAAACAGCAGAGCCAATGATTTAATTCCTCTTATTAATGATATAATAACATGTGCTTGTGTTAGAGAGTTCCATATAAATTTTCATGCTTCATTTGTTCACTCTCAGGCAAATCTGCTGAATCAAGTAAGACTCTAGAAAATGCCCTGCATTGTGAAAGTCAGGGATCATCTTTTCAGGCTTGGAAGGAAGGAAGCATGGAACCAGGAGCTCAGATGCAGGATCAAGATCTAATTCGAGTTGTTGATTTGGCTAGAAGGATACAATTAAGAGTTTAAAAGCAAACCTGAGAAAAAATTTTCAGCACTTGTATGCCTAGAAAGCTCCCCAAAGCAAGCATAACATGTACGAAAGAGGTTTTGCTTCCTCGATATTTTATTGGACTCTCAATTGAAACTATCAATAGAATAAAAAACTGGGTTCCTGTTTTCATATGAATATTTCAAAGATGTTTAATCACTAGGGGACAAAATCTAGAAATTAGCACTACAGATAATAATTTTATATATCTTTTCTGAAAACAAAGAATTATTCAATATAAATACCTGATGAAGACTAGAAAACACAGAAAATAAAATATAGATAATTGACCTCAAACCTCTGGATCTAAGATAACCATATTTTAGTATGTTTTCATTCCATGTGTGTTGGAATGAGGGATGGGGCATTTGTCTAGGAATAGTAAAACTGACTTTTTAAACTCAGAGTCAATTCAGGAGGAATTTGTGTGTATGTGCATGTGTGTGTGTGGCAGTTACAGCTTATTCCTGTAATGAGTAAAAAAAAAGTTATGACAAATTGATTTTCTTTGAAGTTTTATCCAGAAGCATCTTTGGGAAGCAACATCTGAACTAACTTCTGGGTTCTCTAGTGTGGCGACCTGCAGCTGTGATTCTATTCAGCCCCTCTTGTCATTGACTGAACTAATGGTCTACTTGACTTCCCAGTGCTCAAAATATTAATTAGAATACATCTCTTTATCAATACAATGTTAAGAGATTTCTTTTGTTTTCTAAGGGGTGTGTATGGATGTATATTAAATTTTTAACAATGCATTTTGCCTTCATACATGATGGGCAACTAGCTAATCTTTATTCATTTATTCACTCAATAAAATTATTATTGATGTCTACGATGTGCTATTCTGTCTTTCCAATTACTAAAAATGAAGAAGTAAAACATAGAGGTCTCTCTAATTCTTTCAAAACTTTATAAAAAAGACTTCTGGCTTTCAATATTCAGATAAAACTGAGACTGTGGCCTGGATTTACTTCTTTTCTTTTTCTTGCTGTTATAGGAGTTATTAAGAAATTATTTTTCCTAGATAGAGTGGAAAAACGGTTCTTGGAAAGTTTTTGTCTCTTTCAAAGCAGCTCCAGAAACATTTCTTGTCTAGCAGGAAAGCCTGGCTCTTAAGAGCCAGTCAGGCAACCTTTGATATGCAAATACAGGCCATTAGAAGCTACTTCCATCTAAACATGTTGATTCCCACCATTGTCCTCTTGCCCTTGCTCCCACATGTGCCTGGCAACATGCCTGCCCCCACATATCCGCAGGTATGTAGACCATCATGGCGCCCTGCATTTGCATATTAAAAGACTAGGTGGGAGGGCCCATTTTTTCGAGGGCTATGTGAATGACATGTTTAGTCAAACCAATCCCCTAAGCCCTATGCAGATCAGACACCGCCTCCTCCAGCCTCCTCATATAAAGCTGGTATCCGCTTCACTCCGGGTTTCCTCTCTTGGCCTTGGAGACCCTTTCCCTCTGTCTCCGTACAGGGAAGCTTCTTCCTTCTTTCTTTTTTCTTGCCTATTAAACTCTCTGCTCCTTGAAACTACTCCACGTGTATCTGTCATTTTATGCAATTCAGCCTAAGACAAGAGCCCTGGTGTTCCTCCACTCATTGAAGTCGTATCATTTCTTTTTCTTTTTCTTTCTTTCTTTCTTTTTTTTTTTTTTTTTTTTTTTGAGTCAGCGTCTTCGTCTTTCACTCAGGCTGGAGAGTAGTGGCACAATCATATCACAGCTCACTGCAGACTCGACCTCCTGGGCTCAAGCAATCCTCCCACCTCAGCTTCCCAAGTAGCTGGGACCACAGGCATGCTCCATCATGCTTGGCTAATTTTTGTATAATTTTATTTTATTTTTATTTTTTTTTTTTTGGAGAGATGAGGTTTCGCCATGTTTCTCAGGCTGCACTCACACTCCTATGCTCAAGCAATCTGCCGGCTTCAGCCTCCCAAAGTGCTGGGATTACAGGTCTGCACCACACACCTGGCCTTGGATTTATTTCTTTTAGTCCAAATACTCCTTTAATATTTCTGCAGTCTTATAATTACAATATCTGATCAGGAAGTGAGTCTCCTTTCATTAATGTTGTGTGAACTCTCTTTAAATCAATTAATGTAAACAGTATATTTTCCAGGAGAGTAAATTTTTCTTAAATTGTATACTTGATTTTAGTTTCTGTTTCAAGTTTTGTAATTTGATTCTTTTTCAGAAATACCTATAGAGAATCAAATCTTTCTTTTTTCTCCCACAGATACCATCTTCTCTTTGATAGCTTTCATGTTTTGTACTTTTCAACTTTTTTTTCTATATTCTAGGATGGTTTCTCAAATTCTCTGATGTGTTCATTTTGTTTTGCTATTTCGAATATGGATTTAGTTTAGGTGCATATTTTAGCTCCTCTACAATGTTTCTTTTTTTTTTTTACTCTACCAGTCTCTAAAAATCTATTTCCATTTCTTTAATAGGTCATTTAAGGGATCTGCATTCCTTTAAGTGTGTTGTTGATATGGTAATTGGGTCATGGGGGTGGTTTCCCCACCCTGTTCTCATGATAATGAGTGAGTCTCAGGAGATCTGATGGTTTTGTAAGTGTCTGGCATTTCCCCTGCTTGCACTCATTCCATCCTGCCCCCTGTGAAGAAGGTGCCTTTTTCTCCTTTGCCTGCTGCCAGGATTCTAAGTTTCCTGAGGCCCCACCCAGCAATGCAGAACTGTGAGTCAATTACACTTCTTTCCTTTATAAATTACCCAGTCTCGGGTATTTCTTCATAGCAGCATGAGAAGGGACTAATACAGTTGTATAATGCTCTTTTTCTTGTTTTAAAAAAAATACTGTAGGTCTAAACATTTGGTTGACTGCTTCTGCATGTTCAGATCTGGTGTTTTCCAACAGGGTCATGAATTGAAATTCCTGACTTACTTTTTTTTTTTTTTTTTTAATAACTCCAACTTTTATTTTCGATTCAGAGGGTACATGTGTAGGTTTGTTACATGGATATATTGCATGATGCTAAGGTTTGGGATGTGATTGTTTCCTTCACCCAGGTACTAATCGTAGTACATAGCATACACAACAGTTGGCTTTGAAACTTAATCTCCCCTTCTTCCTCCCAGTAATCCCCAGTGCCTATTGTTGCATCTTTATATCCACATGTACCCAGTGTTCAGCTCCCACTTATAAGCGAGAACATGTGGTATTTGGTTTTCTGTTCCTGTGTTAATTCACTTAGGATAATGGTCTCTAGCTGCCTCCATGTTGCTGCAAAGGACATGATTTCATTCATCATGAAATCCTTGCCAGTTCCTGTGTTCAGGGTGGTATTGCTTAGGCTGTTTTCCAGAGTTACTATAGTTTGAGGTCTTATATTTTAATCTTTAACCCATCTAGAGTTAATTTTTGCATACAGTGATAGGTAGGGGTCCAGGTTTATTCTGTATATTGCTAGCCAGCTATCGTAGCCATCATTTATTGAATAGGGAGTCTTTTCTTCACTGCTTATTTTTGTTGACTTGGTTGAAGATCAGATGTCTATAGGTGTGCAGCTTTATTCCTGGGTTCTCTATTCTGTTCCATTGGTCTATGTGTCTGTTTTTGTATCAGTACCATGCTGTTTTAGTTACTGTAGCCTTATAATATAGTTTGAAGTTGGGTAATGTGATAATGTGATGTCTCCAGCTTTGTTCTTTTTGAATAGGATGGCTTTGGCAAGCCAGGGTCTTTTTAAGTTCTACACTAATTTTAGAATAATATTTCTAATTGTATAGAAAATGATGTTAGTAGCCTGATAGGAATAGCAGTAAATCTGTAGATTGCTTTGGGCAGTATGGCCATTTTAACTATATTGACTCTTTCAATCCATGAGCATGGGAGGTTTTTACTGGAATCTTGTTAAATCCCTTTTTCTGATTTGTAATTGGATGCACAAATGAACTACAACCTACTATGGCCCTTAGGCAGAAAAATAATGCGGCATAATTACAAATTGACAATATTTAAATGTTTCCTTCATATTTATTTACTAGTGAAATAGTTGCTGCCTACAAAGGGATTTTTAAATCAAAACCATAATACTAAATAAGAAATATCATTATCATTTCCACTTTGGCAGAGGGAGGATTAGATTACATGTTTCCATGTTACAACTAGAATTATTTGTAGAGCCCCAACTGCATTATTACTGCTTTCTCACTGTTTTGATGCCCCTCATAGACTGGTGTACCTTGCAATAGTGTAATGGTATGACTGGCCTTACTCTTCATGCAGCTTAAGGCTAATGACACCTGAGTGTTGACAGGATCTTATCTGGAGAAACTTTGCTATATTCTACTGCCTGCTTTCTGTAAAGTCAAACATAGGAAATATGTGAAAAACCATTACAATGTAGAACTCAGTACTCTCAATCATCCTTCTCTGGCTCTCCTAATATACCCATTTTCCTTGAGCACAATGATTTCCCACTTAGCAATCGATATTCACTGTCTACCCTAACTTTGTTTAGACTCTTTCTTCTACTTTTCTATCATTATTCACTATTGATCTTCCTTGGGAATCTCATTCTTCAGCCAACTCTTCTCTCTCAATTTCTTGACCTTGCTTGTGATTAGAAAATGCATAAATTGGAAATTAAAAGAAAAAAGAAGGGTAAGCTACATGATATATGCAATGCAATTTTAGAAAACTTTATTATAAAATAATACCTATTTTATGAAATTTAGAAAATACAAATAATACAAAAAGAAAATTTATAATTGATAATCCCACTACCCAGAGAATATCACTGCTAACATTTTGGTATCCTGTCTACATGCATATAAAGAGATATGAGAAAGAAAGGATTATTATAAATAAACCATTTAACTTGATTTTAAATTAATAATTTGTCATGAATATAGCTTTTCATATTAGAATACTTTTTTTCTTACTATGTTAATACCTACATGGTATTATATGAATGTGACAGTTTATTAAATCAATGTTCATTGCTTTCAAATTTGCATTAGTATACATAATGCTGAGATTAGTATATTGGAATCTGTATGTGAATCATATGAATTCCCTTAGAATAAATCCCTAGAAGTATACAGAATTAAAAACCTTAATTAACGCAAACTGCTTTTTTGAAAGCCTGCAACATTACTCTCCCAGAAGTATTTTTTTAAAATCCATTTCCCAATACCCTTGTAAACTCTAGGTTTATCCAGCTGAAATTTTATGTCTTTTGACCAGCACCTTCTCAATAATCCCACCACCTGCATTCTGTAAGTTCAACATTTCTATTGTTTTAATTATGCCTTAATTGTCTGAAGATGTAATTGTCTTAAAATATTGTCTGTTGCGATATTTCAATTCTGCAGAATGGGTAATTTTATAAAGAATGGAGATTTAGTTAGCTCACTCTTCTGGAAGCTGGGAAGTCCAAGAGCATGGCACAGGTATCTAATGAGGGCCTTCCTGCTGTGTCATGACTTGGCAAGAGACATTATGTGGCAAGACAGAGCAAATGTTCCAGCTCAGGTCTCTCTTCCTCTTCTTATAAAGCTGCCAATCTCATGAGGTTCCTACCCTGAGGATCTTATCTAATGCTAATTACCTCCTGTCTTTGTCCATTTTGTGTTGCCGTAACAGAATCCCTGAGACTGGGTAATTTATAAAGAAAATAGATTCATTTGTTTCACAATTCTGGTGACAATTCTAGTCCAAGAGCATGATACTGTTATCTGCTCACCTTTTAGTTAGGGCCATGTGCTACATCACAACATAGCAGACAAGCAGTAAGGCGAGCAGATGAGTGCAAAGGGACACGCATGAGAGGCTGGGCTCACTTATAACAACCCACTCTCATGGGAACTAATTAATTTCTGCAAGAGCAAGAACTTACTCCTTTAAGACAGCATTAATCTATTCATGAGGGCAGTACTCCCATGTTTCAAACACCTCGCAGTAGGCCCACCTCCAAACACTGCCAAATTGGGAATCCAATTTCAACATAAGTTTCAGAGGGGACACAGTCAAACCAATAGCATTCGGCCCCTGGCCCCTCAAACTCATGTCTTTTTCAAGTACGAAATACAATCACCCTATAGCTGCAAAGTCTTACCTGTTTCAGCAACAACTCGATCGTTTAAAGTTCAAAATCTCATTTGAGTCTCAAGGCAAGCTCCCTCCAGCCATGAACCTGTAAAATGCAAAACAAGTTATCTACTTTGAAGATAAAATGGTAGGAGACGTATTGGGTAAACATTTTGATTTCCAAAAGGAGAAAATAGGCCAAAAGAAAGAAGTGACCAGCCCAAGCAAATCTAAAACTCAGCAGGGTAGAAATTTAATCTTAAAACTGCAAAATGATACTTTATTCCATATGCTGTCTCCTGGACATACTGGGGCTGGGGTTGGGCCCCCAAGGCCTTAGGCAGATCTGCTCCTAGGGCTGTGCTGGATGCACAGCTCAGGTGGTTACTTAGATGAGTTGGAGCCCAGTGTCTATAGCTCCCCAGGTGGATGTTGCATGCTGCCAGTGGCCCAACCCAGCAGTGGCTGCACTCCAACACTCCACTAGACATTGCCATGGTAGGGACTACCTGTGGCAACTTCACCCCTGGAGCAAGTTTTTGCTTGGATTCCCAGGCAGGTTGATATATCCTTTGAAGTCTAGGTGGGGACCACCACATCCCTACCTCTCTTGCATTTTGCAGACCTGCAGAATTAGCACTACCTGGATGTGGAAGCTGCGGAGGCTTATTGCTTGTGCCCTCCAAAGCTGCGGCACAAGATACACCTGGAGTCACTTGAGCCATGGCTGGAGCAGCCAGGATCCAGGGAGCAGCAATGTATGGATACAGGGAACTCCAGGCCCATCTCACAAAGCCATTTTGCCCTTCTAGACCTGTGCCTTTTCTCCGTTGTCCTAACACACAACACTTATCTTTCTTGTTTTCATGCTAATCTTATTAGAAAGTAGTCACTGGGCCACACCCTCAGCAATCTCTCCCAAACTTGCTTTTTTACCCTTAACATGATCAGGCTGTGACTTTTCCAGATTTTTTCGGCTTTGCTGCCCTTTAGTTGTAAATTCTGTTTTAAATTATTCATTTGCTCCCAGATCTCAGTATAAGCAGGTCAAAGTAACCACACAGCTCCTTCTCTAATTTGTTTAGAAATTTTTTCCAGAAATCCTAGTTCAACATTCTTAAGTTTCACCTTCATAAAACCCTAGAACATGGACACAATGGAGGCAAGTTCCTTGCTACAGTATAACAAGGATGGCTTTTACTCCAGTTCACAGTAAGATATTCCTCATTTCCATCACACCTTATCAGAATGGTCTTTACTGTACATATTTCTATTAGAAATATTAATAGAAAATGAACAAACAACAGAGTAAGTTTACAAAGCCACAAATATTTTGTTGAAATGATTAATAAAATTGGTAATCTTAACAAGGATTGATCAAGAAATAAGTAAAGAAACACAAATTACCTATAGCAACGAAGGAGTTGATATGATTACAGAGCTCATAGATATTGAAAAGATAATATTATAAAGAACTTTATCCTGATAAATATGATTATTTAAGTGGAATGAAAAAAATCTTGAAAAACACAATTTACCAAATCTGACAAAAGAGGAAATAGAAAATTTTAATAGCTCTGTAACTTTTAAAGGAATTGAACCTATTACCAAAACCCTTCCACAAAGAAAACTGTAGGCCCTTATGGCTCATCACTGAAATCTATAAATCACCTAAAGAAAAAATAAGTCTTACATAAGGCTTTTTCAGAAAATAAAGGTGGCAATAATACACCCCAGCTTGTTTTATGAGGATGGTATAACCCTGATACTAAAATGTGACAGAGATATTACAAGAAAAATTATCACCCAACTTAGCCACATAAAATGAAAAGGCAATAGTTTCACATCTGTTTGCATCTGATAAATGTCTTAAGGACTTGAATGTTATAAATCACTCTACTATAATGTGAAACATCTTTTATCAAATATCACAGGAATGATCAATATCTGATGACTGGAGAGGAAAAACAGAAGAGAAATACAAGTTTCTGCATGTCAGCCAAACATAGCTAACATTATTTTACAAAGCATCAGGAATTGCAGTGGCATTGTTGTTAACGGAAACTGAAGGCAGAGAACTTACTGATTTTAGTATACACCATAACTTTTAACATAGTAATAGACTTCTGAGAGCACTAATGTCTCAGCAACTTAATAGGTGCTCCTTGATTTGTTGGATTCTAAAGAATGCCTTGACAAACATTCCCAAAATCGAGCTCTCATACATATTAAACCCAGGTAAGGCTGAGTGGCTTATTGTGAAATAAGAATAATAACCACAAAATCCTAGAATACCATGCCACTAAATCTTACTAGCAGAGTTCTAAAACAGAAAAATTAATGCATTTACTTAATACAAGACTAGTTATTGTGTAGTCTGTGACTTCTCTCCTTGATGAATATTTTTGAGTCCATTAAAATAATTCTCTTTGTCTACTTTAAGACAAAACCTATTGTCAGCAATTTTTTCCATGTGAAATTGTAAAAATCTTTTCTTAACAACATCTAATTAGTTTTTCCCTAACAATATCTTATTAATTTTTATTACACATCTGAGTATATTTGATGAGTAAAAGGGGAGTCAAATTAATGGTTATGACTCTTAGGAAGAATGCTAATATTTCTTCTTTAATCGGCACTTAGTTGAATCCTACTTATTAATTACTTTAAACAACTCCCTATAGAAGACACTCCAGTGCTATTTATTGCTTTTATTCATGAAATACATTTGTAAGAATATTTCCAATGTGTCTGTATTTTCTTCACCTTTAATATAATATCAGAGTGAATACAGTTTTGATGAATTAGGAACTATCTCAATCCTTTGTGATACAGTTTATCTTCATAGATGGCCAAAGGAAGCCATCTTTTTGGAATGCCTTTATCAAATTGCTACTAGATAGAAAAATAAATTAATAGTCATGCTGATCAGGCTGAAGTCTTTGAAGACATTGGCCTGAATAAATAAGGCAAGTCACAGACCCATGCCACTCTAGTATGTTTATTAGAACAGTCGTACCCTATCAAAAACATAACTCAGCACATTACCCAGATAGTAATAATACAGGTCACCTCCTTTAGAGCCAGTAGATGAAACTGTAATCGTATCAACTCTTTCATTAATAGCTCTGTAACTTTTAAAGGAATTGACTCCATCACCAAAAGCTTTCCACAAAGAAAACTGTAGGCCCATATGGCTCATCACTGAAATCTATAAATCAGCTAAAGAAGAAATAATGTCTTACATAAGGCTTTTTCAGAAAATAAAGGTGGAGATAACACACCCCAAATTGTTTTATGAGGATGGCATAACCCTGATACTAAAATGTGAAAGAGACATTACAAGAAAAAGTATCACCCATCTTAGCCACATAAAATGAAAAGACAATAGTTTCACATCTGTTTGCATTTGATAAATGTTTTAAGGACTTGAATGTTATAAATCACTCTATTATAATGTGAAACATCTTTTATCAAATATCACAGGAACGGTCAATACCTGACAACTGGAGAGGAAAAACAGAGGAGAATACAAGTTTCTGAATGTCTGCGTTGGTGTTACGCATTAAATAATACTACTTTTTCTTGCCTCTTGTTGATATATGCAGAAATCAGTATGCAATATGCCAACCTGCTCTTGCCACACCTATTACTGTGTAACTTATTCTTAAGCAAATTATCCCAATACAACAGGCAGCTCTTTTGCAAGCTTACTTAAAATGCTTTTATTCCTACTCATCCTATGCTCATATCTTTGTTCCTCTTTTCTCACAAGCACATGTTATTAGGCATGTCTTATCTTCTTCATAGTCACTCAAGGGTTTCTGTGTGGCTCTGTGTGTCAATGACCACTATACATGCAAATGTGCATGTGTACAAACATAATGTCCTGTCTACAGTCATGTCTACTTGACCCTAGAGTTTCTTATGGTTTAATTTCTGTTTTAGTTTAAGTCAAAGATGTGTTGCTTAGATATTCTGGTTATCAACCAGGCAAGTCTATTCTTTTGAGCTACTCCTTTTTTCTGTGTAATCTTTCACTTCAGCTAGTTGCTTGTTATACCCTTCCAAAAACATCGCTTCATCACGCTGTCTCTTACAACTTCTCTAAAAGCCTCTTTATTATCATTTTAATTATTCATCTAAGAATTGGCTTATTCTTTGTCTTTTCCAAACTCTAGAAAACCAAAGGGAATTTTATCATTAGGAAGCATCTAGAGCAGTGGTTAGTAAACCATGGCCCATGGGCCAAATCCAGCCTGCAGCCTGTTTCTATACAGCTCACAAACTAGGAATCATTTTTATATTTTAAAGTGGTTGGGACACAAACAAACAAAATATATTTTATGACACATGAAAATGACATGTAATTCAAATTTCACTGTTCATAAGTAAAGTTTTACTGGAACTTAGCCATGCCCATTCATTTACATATTGTCTATAGCTGTTTTTGCAATACAGGAGCAGAATTGAGATGTTGCAAGAGACCAAATGGCCTGCAAAGCCTAAAATATTTACTATTAAGTAAAAGGAAAAAAGTTTGCCAACCCTTGATCTAGGGAATTAGAAAAATGTAAATTGTTGTTCACAAGGTTAAATGATTTCCCCAAGGCCATAGGAATTTATTGCTGAGCCCAGGCAGGAACTTTGATTTCTTTATTCATCCATTGGTGCCCTCCTTGTTGTATCATATGCCAACTACCCATTTAAAAGACATAGTTAACCTTGTAACTGAAAGACAAGGGGAAACTCCATTTCTCGTTGGGTCTTCTGCATTTCCAACGTTAGTCAGTCACAAAAAAACACTGTGGAGGAGATCAACATTTAGATGACTACAGAAACAGGGATTATCATACAATGAATAATTAACTAGGTAGCAAAGATTATTTATACCCTTACTAATCCTGGGTTTTTAAAAAAATCAATATTAATTTTAGTTAGAAAGAGTTGTATTAATATTATAGTGTTGCACTTCACATATTACTTTTATATGCATGTATATTCTTAGAAAAAAACAAGAACCCATTTTCTGGGATAATTTATCATCTTGCTTTAAAATAAAGGAACAAATTCTGCTGCCAAGAAGCTTCTCACATGTTCCCCCCTTATCAGGATAAATAATTGTTTGATCAAAATAGCAGCCGGCCTAGTGCCCCTGGCTGAGACAGCTGATTAATGAACTTTAATTACTAGTTACAGCTCTAGAACCACCCAGCAGCCTTCGACCAACCTCTTCCTGAGCATCAACCTCCTTTTTCTGCTTTTGCCTTGGAAATAATGACAGTGTCTCCTCTAGACATCCACAGGCCTGTGGGGAGATAGAAGTTCACAGCAGGAATTGCAGTTAATTTCTTGTTTCTTCTTTACTGGACAGAAAAACGAAGAGACTTCAGAGAAAAGATAAAGTGGTAACTATCCCTTTGTAACTCTAACCCAAAGTTCTACTGCCCTTTTTCGTGAAAATACTTTTAAAAAATCATACGTGAGAAAGGGGAGGGAGGTATCTGTCATCCTTTTCAGAGCCCACCCGTGCTGCTACATTGCCCTGTGGGGCACTCCTTGCTAGCCAGCTTCTGTGGAGGAGTGAAGTTGTTGTTGTCTCAGCTTCAGTGCAAAGTATTAGGGAAGACAATACTGTCATTTGCTGTTAGCTCTGTAATTCCCTACACCACTAGACTAGTGGGTGTCTGTGACTTGAAGGTATAGGCATAACTAGAGAGGGTAGGTAGGTAATGAGATATGGCAGGACTTTAATATACTAAATATGACTGTTGCCAGAGTACAAAGAAAAGACTGACCCTGGCCTGGTGTCTCCATCTGTGGACATACACCAGTTCAGAGCCTTTTCCCCAATCTCAAGTTCACGCTGCTCCATCATTCAAGGAGAGATGCTGCTTTATGATGTAGTCAGAGAATAAATTTTCCTTGTCACCTTAGCAATACACTACCACTACCCACAAGAACGGTATTTACTTTGGGCCTTCTCTTCTCCTCCTCACTAAGGCAATACATACGATTAGGTAAAAAAAACAAAAACAAACCAGCATTATCTGTGGCACTGGCAAGAAATGCCTGATGTTGAAT
Organism: Homo sapiens; assembly: GCF_000001405.40. Taxonomy (NCBI): domain Eukaryota; kingdom Metazoa; phylum Chordata; class Mammalia; order Primates; family Hominidae; genus Homo; species Homo sapiens. Next base: position 114,484,873 of record NC_000004.12, on the reverse strand, counting down.
TCCCAAAAGTGTCATCAGACACCTTGTTCATAAAGACTGACAGAATGTATTCAAACTCATTGTAGTAAAGCAGACAGAGTCTTAGTATTGGAGGAAATTTAGAGGATTTGGAGTTTGGCTCAAGAGTTTTCAAAATGGGATGAGTTTAAAGCAGATTTTTTCAAGCAGGAAAATTATTAGAATTGGACAATGTTCATAACACAGTAGTTTAGGGTTGGTGAATGCATTGAGGTGAGGTGTTGACATGATAAGTAAACCTTTGATAAATGATCTTTACTGAGGTGAACAAACTTATCTCTGATAAATTGATTTGTAGGAATTTCTTGAAGAAAACAGTAAAGTTGTTTACTGGTTTAGTTTCATGTTAGAGTGTTTTTTAAATTTTTTGTTTGTTTGTTTTGTTTGTTTTTAGAAAAAAATCAACTAAGGCATGTGGATATAGATGTTTTCAGTTTTCATCAGAATGACCATTAGTACTCTATGGTATCAAAAAAAAAATATGTGTGCTATTGACAATCCAAATTTGTGGCTTTGTAGTATTTCTAACAGTATAAGGAAACATACATATACAAACATATATATTGTTCTAGAATAAATATTAATTTAATCGTTAGGGGTTATACAAGCCATAATACTCAGAAAGAAAGATAATTTTTTTTTCCTCGGGTAATACAATTTTTAAAGGTTGTCTGTAATCACAATGGAAGATATAGATTTACATTATTATCCAGATGAGTTTCATTCTCCACCTTATCTCTAGATCAAACCACGTAATTTCCTGGTTTAGAGACTATTACTAGTAGGTAGTATGTAGCCATGTATCCTGTCCAAAACAGAACCATCTTTCCATTAAAATTCTTAGCAGAGGCTTTGAAGTTAAAATTTACTTTACTGTAGGCCATATCAAATTCACTAATATTTGAAAAATGAAGGTAAACCATACATGCCTTTATTATATCTAAATTAAAGCCAATCAGTAGGGTGGCACTTGTTCTAGATAACACAGTTAGTTGCAAATTATTTTATCTTTTCTCCTTTTCTTTGTTTTTCATACAAATGACTCCAGTAGAGCTTAAAATAGTTTTTTTTTCTGTTTCTTTGTTTTGTTTAACTTTTAAGTTCAAGGGTACATGTGCAGGTTTGTTATATAGGTAAATTTGTGTCATGGGGGTTTGTTGTACAGATTATTTTGTCACCCAGGTATATTAATCCTAGTACCCATTTGTTATTTTCCTGACCCTCTCCCTCCTCTCACCATCCACCCTCTGATAGGCTCTAGTGTGTGTTGTTCCTACCTTTGTGTCCATGTGTTCTCATCATTAGATCCAATTCATTTGTGAGAACACGCAGCATTTGGTTTTCTGTTCCTGCATTGGTTTGCTAAGGATAAAGTCCTCCAGCTTAATTCTGAGAATTCATGGAATAAAAAAAATTATGCTAAATTTAATCATTCTGATACTGATTGTTATATATTATTTATTTTAGTAAAATGAGAATGTTAAAACTTCATAGTGATTTTTGCAAGTGAAGAAAAGGAGAATATTTCACCCCAAAATACACCTCTTTGACATACATAGTTTTAAGCTTACTGCAATTGGGAAGCAGCAGTTACAGAAAAGACTGACTTTCCCTTTCTTACCTATGGCAGGCTATAAACATTCCTATAAAAAAGATGCAGGGGGGCTCTGCCTTCTCTTTCCACATGTAGATGGAGATATAAGTTCTCGCTTGCTTATCAGCCCAGAGGTGGCACCAGCAGAGTCAAAGGAATTTGGGAACAGACTTTGACTATTTTTATGCAGCTTTTCCCACATTTGGGACCCTAAAGCTACTTGTTATTTCTGTCTTAACACTTCTAAATTGATTGTTCTTTGTTAGATATGCTATATAAGCAGGAACCCTAAGCCATCATATTATGAGAAACTTTTGAACTGAGGTTTCTCCCGTGTGGTGTACACTGCACAGATAGATAAAAATGTCTGTTTTTCTCTTGTTAATCTGTCTTTTGTTACAGAAGTGTTCCCACTATGCACTTAAGGGGTTGAGAAAGAAGTTATATATTTTCTCCCATTTACAGGGAAAAGTTGTGTATTCATCCAATCAAGAAATATTTATGTATTTACTAATTTCTTACCAGACACCACACACTAGGTTGGATACAAGAGCTTTCAAAATGGGGTAAAGAAAACAAAAATCATAAATTACTTCTAAAAATAACTTTTAAGCCAATAAATGAGAGAAATACATAAACTCTTATAGTACAATGGAATAATCTAATCATGTTTATGTAAAGATGTTTTGGAAAGGTCTAAATCCATTTATGTTAAATTTGGATACGAATAGGGGCAAGTTATAGAAATATAATGTTTTTTTTCTGTCTAATATGTGCCAAGCATTTTATATTATTTTATTTAAACATCACTACAGGCTGTAGAAATTCAATGTTTATCCCAATTTTGTAGGTGAGGAAATTAATGCTTATAAATATTAGAAATACCAAAGGCACAACAACTAGTAAGCAGTCAAGCCTGGCTTGGAATCCAGTTCTTTTTGGTTCCAAATTATTTACTATTTTCAGTACGCTGAGCATCTCCAGGAAACACAGATCTGAATTCTGGATTTCAGGCAGGAGATATTGAGAGGTGACAACATGCTAGCAGCCCTCGCTCATTCTCAGCATCTCCTTGGCTTCGGCATCCGCTCTGGCTGCACTCAAGGAGCCCTTCAGCCCGCCGCTACACTGTGGGGGACCCTCTCTGGGACTGGCCGAGACCAGAGCTGGCTCCATCTGCTTGCCAGGAGGTGTGGAGGGAGAGGCGCGGGCAGGAGCCGGGGAGCTGGGTTCCGGATGGGTGCAGGCTCAGCGGGCCCTGCACTGGGCGCAGCCGGCCGGCGCCTACTGGGCTTGACTGGGGGATGAGCTCCCTTTGGGCTGCCGGAGTGCCTGGGCTAGATGCCGCAAAGTCCCACAGCGAGTGCCATTGAGAGGTGAAGCCAGCTGGGCTTCTGGGTTGGGGAGGGACCTGGAGAACTTTTCTGTCTAGCTAAGGGTTTGTAAACACACCAATCAGCACTCTGTGTCTAGCTAAAGGTTTGTAAATGCACCAGTCAGTGCTCTGTCAAAACGGACCAATCAACTCTGTAAAATGGACCAATCAGCTCTCTGTAAAATGGACCAATCAGCAGGATGTAGGTGGGGCCAGATAAGGGAATAAAAGCAGGCCACCCAAGCCAGCAGCAGCAACTCGCTCGGGTCCCTTTCCACGCTGTGGAAGCTTTGTTCTTCTGCTCTTTGCAATAAATCTTGCTGCTGCTCACTGTTTGTGTCCACGCCACCTTTATGAGCTGTAACACTCACCACGAAGGTCTACAGCTTCACTCGTGAAGCCAGCGAGACCGTGAACCCACCAGAAGGAAGAAACTCCGGACACATCTGAACATGTGAAGGAACAAACTCCAGACACACCGTCTTTAAGAACTGTAACACTCACTGCAAGGGGCTGCGGCTTCATTCTTGAAGTCAGCGAGACCAAGAACCCAACAATTCCGGACACAATATCAGTAAATTATTCCACTACCAGAACCAGGAGAGTGATAAAATGAAAGCAAAATTTTAGAAAAGTAATCTGAGAGGAATTTTGGGAATCAAGTAATAATGTATAGAAGCAGATAATTCAAATAGCTTGCTGAGATATCAACATAAAAAGGGCTTAGGCTAGAATAGTAACAGCTAATAAAAATTAACATGACCAACTACTGTATACCACATTTTGTGCTTGGCATTTCACAACGACTTTCAGGATAAAGTTATGAGGTAGGTGATATTATCCCCATATTACTGTCTGGAGGTAAAGCAACATGACAAGGTCACATAGCCAATAAATAGAAGAATTATGATACAAACCCAGATCTTTTTGGTTCTGAAAACTGAAATCTTAACCACTATGTTATAGTAAGATTAGAACAGAAATGTCAAATATAATATTTTGGAGAATCTTTTGATAACAAAATAAGGAAAGAGAATGTGCTTGAAAGTATTAAGCAGAAGTTATCAGTGCCAACGACAGATCAGATGACAAAGCTAGACCCTGATGCAGAATGCCCACCTCCTACAAATAATTGTTTCTGTCTTGTTTCCCATCACCATTTATATCATCACTGCCACTATGATCATCCAGTAGCACCTACACTCTCATCTTCATACTTCTTTCGATATTCTTCTATTTACTCCCTTCCATCAATGCTTCCCTACCTTATAAACCCTTCCACTCTGTTGGGGGACTAATGGACACACACATATCGATGGTTCCTCGGAACAATGTAATGAGTTCTGTGTTTCTCTTTTTGTGTGGTATTGCTGTTCTAAAAACTACAGATATCAGTGTTTTTACAAACTCAATGTAGATTGATGCCTAGAAAACGATATCCTCTTCTGTTCCCACCATTCTTCTCCAAACCCTATCACGTCCTTGAAATACTGTTCTACGATCAGTATGTTCCCGTATATTCTGTCTTCTCTGTAAATTCCCTCCAGTTCCTTTGTCCCAACTGACACTTCAGAATCTTCTGAGGATCTGAGGAGATTGCCTTCTTTGTAGCCTTCTCAAGCAGAGGTTTTCTTTTGTTCTTCCGCACTAGCCAGTTCTACCCAATCTGACTTTATAATTGCTGATCCACCAATTTTGTTTTCTACATCTACCTGTCTATCAGCATTTTTATTGAATTCAAAATCCAAGAGGAAGACCTATTCAACAGGCTGATAATGCATGGTTTGCCCTCTTCATTTTAAATAACATTTACTGCCATCTCCATCTCAACAAATCATCCCCGTGGTCAAATCCTGTGGTAGCACTCCTCACACAGGGGCACCAGCTGCCGGGGTCTGCCTGCAGACCCTGACCCAGCGACGGATGAATAAAGTACACTGACACACAGATAATCTGTTTTGCCAGTTCAGCTGAGTGTCCAAGCCATTTACAAATTCCCTGCTGAGTATTGTGAACAGTTGCAACTATGGCCCAATCAGCTGATGAGACTCACATTTATTCAGTAAGATTAATTCACAAAGGCTTGAGTCAACACCATTAGAGGGTAATTGACATTGTGGACTTCCCGAGTAAAAAGCACTTAAGCACCTGTGGTACATCAAAGGTTAGTCTTAAGACCACATGAGTAAACAAGCTAGCTAGTTAACTACCCCACATTCCTTTGTTACTACTCTACTTTATTTAACTAAAGGTTAAGATCAGGTTGTCTTCAACCATATCTGTTACCAAAGTTATGCAAACTTCTTGGCCTTCCAAGATTTGTGTCTATCTCTGTAACTATCTCTAATATTTTCCCTACCAGCCTGACTGAACCCAACAACATTCTAGATGCTTCTCTTCTAGAAACTATGTCAACTACAGCATCTGTATTTCAACCATATTGCTTTACAACGATTGTCTTTTACTTTTCTATCTCACTTGCAAAAGTACCATTGCTGAAATAATTCCTCAACTTCATTGAGGACCAATTCCTTGACCTCGCGATTTTCTCATTACCATACTGTCTCCTTGTATATTAGTTTTCCTTTTAAACCACATTAGATTATATGGTTCCACACTACCATCACTCATTAAAAAAACTTGTTTGCAAATATCCTCAATTTCTCTACATCTGCCACTTTCTATGGTAATTCTCTGACAAACCAAATTTTTAATGAGTAATTCACCTTCTAACATGAAGACAGAAGAAACTTCTGTGGCTGGAAAGAAATATCATATGAGTAAGCTGACTGGTTTTTACTTAAAGGGAACATCATGAGCTTTAAGTGGGCATTCTACATGGGCAGTCATATTCTAATGAGGAAACAGAAACAGTCAGAGAAGAACTTTCTTGTTTTCTTCTAACCAAATCTATAAAATGGCCTTAATCTGCATCTATCTGAAACTTTTTGCAGTGTATTTTCCATCACTAATCACAGCATACAGGTTTCAAAGAATTTCTACAGGACTGAAAAAAACCAAATCATGCCAAATAGTGGGAGGAAGAGCTACCTTATTCCAAAAAATACTAGTATCAGAACTCAGGTTTCATTAAATACATTGATACCTAGAATAAAAGACTCTCTTGCAGCTTTCTGTGGCCAGATGACTTTTGTTCAATGAAATATTAAGCACTGTGTTGTATCTCCAGAAAGTCCCCATTTTGCTTTTCTCTTCTTTATTCTTATTTTTGTGCTGTCATGAAAGTGATTTCAGGAGCTTCAGAATCCATCTAATACCATGAAGTAACCTTGAAGAAACCATGTGCAAGGGCTACAGAGGAGAAAGAAGAAAGCCTGGCCTCTAATCACACTGTGGATATGCTTCCACTGGCCAAATCTGGATTTCTTTTGTATAAAATAAGATAAACGTATATGTTGTTTAAACCACTTTTGTTTGTTTTTAATTTTTCTGTCATATGCATACATCAAAATTCATAAATGATGTGGTTTACCTGCAAATATCAAGAATATGCAATACAGGCTGGGGTACAGTGGCTCATGCCTGTAATCCCAGCACTTTGGGAGACTGAGGTGGGCAGATCATTTGAGGTCAGGAGTTCGAGACCAGCTTGAGCAACATGGCAAAATTCTGTTTACAAAAATACAAAAAAATTAGCCTGGCTTGGTGGTGCACGTCTGTGGTCCCAGCTACTAGGGAGGCTGAGGTAGGAGGATCTCCTGAGCCTGGGAGGCAGAGATTGCAGTAAGCTGAGATCCCGCCACTGCACTCCAGCCTGGGCAACACAGTGAGACCCCATGTCAATATATAGATATGAATTCATATATAATAATAATATATAATATATAATAATAATTCATATATAGAATTCATATATATATGAATTTTTTAAAAAAAGAAAGAATATACAAGAGAAGTTTAAAACTTACCTGGTAATAAGGGATAAATGTGTAATATAATAATTGCTTTCTATACAATTAAGCCTGAGTTTTGATAATTTTTTGGTTATTCTCCCATCAAAAAAGAAGAAAATAAAAAGCTTAGCAGTTCATTTTCATGATCTCAATCCTAAAGCAAAGAACTATTTTCCAACATTGTGCTTGTAAGTGTCTAAAATCACAAAGTGAATGAAAATTGTGTCAGCAAATTTTGAGAGTAGTTGAAATAATAAAAAATTTTCTAATTAAGTGCATTAATAGGCTAAACTTACTTAAACAAGGAAATATTTTCTTTTGTATGTCTTACAAAATCATCAACCATATGATTCTAATTAAACACAAAAATGGAGATGGGATTTTATTTTGTAAATTAATATTTTATATTTCAATAGCTTTTGGAGTACAAATACTTTTTTGGTTTCATAGATGAATTGTATAGTGGTAAAGTCTGAGATGTTAGTGTACCCAAGGGATTTTATTTTTTAAATTAGGTTTTTGTTAGACAATTGCTTTAACAATCTAATGTATTTATTTTTATTTTTTAAAGAATTGGCAAATAATAGCTGTGAAAAATTACTGTTTGTTTCCTCCTTAAACATGAATTTGCATTCTACCCTTACAATGGCAGGACATTACTAGAACAAAACAACATTATCATTTCCTAATTTCTATGTATAAAACACCTACTATATGCCAAGAGTATCTAACATACTATTTCATGTTAACCTGTCTACAACATAGAAGAAACTTAATAAACTATAGTTGACTTAACTGATCTTCACAAGAAGCCTTACACACTTGGGTTACATTTATTCACTCACTAAGGGGAAGATCTGAGCCTTAACATGGGGAAGATCTAAGTAAGATTATATGATTGAATAAAGTTACGTGTTTGGAAAAGAAATCTCAGGTCTTGGATCAGACCTCAAGCCTGCTTGAGAGTGGCCTATGTCCATGTCATTCCTACTATTTCCGAAATCCTCATCACTTTGAATCAGAATTTAAAACAAGTATGGGTGTTTCCACTTAATTTTAAGTGAGTAGATATGATAGAATACTAAATAGAAGTTATCTGATGTGCCCATATTTCATTTGCTCTCTTAGCACTTGCGACAACGAAGTGAGAGAATTAACACATAAAATAGTCAGATTATACCAGAATTACTTAAAAAAAAAAATCACATCCAGCTGGGTGTGGTGGCTCACGCCTCTAATCCTAGCACCTTGGGAGGTTGAGGCAGGCGGATCACCTGTGATCAGGAGTTTGAGACCAGCCTGGCCAACATGGTGAAACTTTGGTTTTCTGTTCCTGCATTAGGAGCTCGTCTCTTCTAAAAATACAAAACTTAGCCGGGGTTGGTAGCAGGCACCAGTAATCTCAGCTGCTTGGGAGGCTGAGACAGGAGAATCGCTTCAACTCGGGAGGCAGAGGTTGCAGTGTGCCAAGATGGCGCCGCTGCGCTCCAGCCTGGGTGACAGAGAGACTCGAGTCAAAAAAAAAAAAAAAAAAAATAACAACAGTGATTGAATTTTAGAATTATCATTTTCAAATTATGCTTTTAGTTGGCTGTCCAAGAAAAACCTGGTGAAAAATATTTCTTTTTTCTTGTATTTCCTTAGTAGTTTATTTCTACATAGTAGCATAAGAAAAGAAATCTTTCTCTTTAGGGTTTTTCCTCCAAAATTGTATGAAGACTATCTGACCTTACAGTTCACGAGGTTAATGATTCGATCATAATTTGTTAAAGTTAATTAATTACACGGTAATGCCTCCTGAAAGGCATTACTTGGCTTTCTCACAGTAATTTAGTCAAAAAATAGAAATATTTTGTTCAATTGTCTAGCTAAACAATACAGAAAGATATGTTAAAATAAGCATATCTGACTAACCTACTTTCATTGCTTTTATTTTTTATTTTTTAATTTTTAAAATTGGATTTGTTTCAGCTTTTTTTTACAGACAAATAGCTGAGTGCCACTGTGATTCTTCTACAAAGTTTATAGACTGAATACGACTTTTAGAAAAATGCTATTATTCTAACATCACCTTTCTATTATAAATAATGTGTGCTATTTTTCAAGGTAAAGCTAACAAATATTGTTAACCTGTAACTGTCTAGATATTTAAGTTGGTCTAGATGTGTGTGTTGTGTGTATGTGTGTGTATTAATTTACCTCTAAATAAAGCTTTCATCACATTATTAACTATGCAGTATTTTCATTTTGATTTTTTTTATAGTTTATGATTTTTAAATATCTTTGATCCAAGATTTTAGTGAGCATGTTTTTAAGATATCAAGTAGTTAGATTTTTTGTTTTTGTTTGTTGTTATTCTGAGGCTGGAATATTAAATTATAATTTTATTACATCTGTGCATTTACATCTATTGATATGATAATATTAAAGTGTAAATGTAGTGAATAAATTTTTTGGATTTTATAATATTAAACCATATTTGCCTTTTTCTGGCATAAAACTAATTTGATCATAATGTCTCTTTTTTATATGCAGTGTTGGTTTGTGTTTATTGGTAATTTGAGGGATTTGACATCTTTATTCATGAGTGAAAAGAACTTTTAAGTTTTGCTTATCATACTATTCCTGTTGTGAAATTATTAAACATCATAAAATGAGAGAAAGTTTTCTACTTTTTCTATTCTTAGAAGTTTTTTTAAGAATTGAATGATTTGCTCTTGGAAATTTTGGATGACCAGTAAAACTGTTCAAGTTTCTTGTTTTCTTTAGAGGAAAATTTTAACTGTTAATATAATGGCCTGCTATTTTTATCGTCTTTAGTGGTACCTGGAGACTATTACTTGTTTTCATTATCTTAAATTCCCATGTGAAAAGGTGAAAGCTGATGATGCCAAATCTCTTAATACTTTAAATGTGCTAGCCCTTATGGAAAAAACGAAAAAGTGCTTTAGGCTGAGAGGAAGCTATTAATCTATTAATGGCTTGCTCTTTGGAAAAATCAGCTTTCCAAGTGGAAATATATAGCATATATATGATATGTAATTCTACATTGCCTACACATTCCAATATTTTATCAACTTTATCAACTCAGAATTTATAACTGCCTTTTTTTCCATGTATAACTTCCAGATAAAATTAGTAACAACATGCTTCTTCCTAACCTGAAACAACCATACCTTGCACAACCAAAGACATGTTTTTCTTCCTCCCCCAATGGGAAACACAAAGTCTCATACTCTACTTTATTCATGTCTGGTTGATATTTATTTATCTTCTAACTCAACCACAGATCTTCTTTTATATGTTGCCAAAATATATAAAACAGGGGCTTTTGGCCATTGGACAATAGGCGATATAAAACTGTGGTCTGTGATAGAAGAAAAATATACACGATGACTCATTTGATTTCCTCAGCTTACCATCTAGAGTTTGTTTCCAGGCCACAGCACAGGGAGGGGGAACACAACAGAGCCTGGCAATCTTAATGAGTAGAAGGGAAATAACCCGGTATTTGAGGAGGACAAGGAGCTAGAATTTCATTTCAGAATATCAGACAGGCTGGAACTGCACACAGAGTGAGTTCTAGAAATCTACATAAGAGTTTCCTGCATAAGTACTGATCAGTATATTCACAAGAGGAACTTACCCAAGACTGGAGGGAAAAAAAAACAACAAAAAAAAAAAAAAAAAAAAGAAAAAAAAAAAAACACCAGGAAGTAATAGGCCAACTAATATCTGGAGCACAACAGGACTGGGAATTATTTTGTGTTCCCATCAGACAGCAATCAGAATCATACTATATATAATGTACAGCAATCAGAATCATACTATATTCAATGTATTTGATCCAAAAAAGTTAACAGGTATGCAAAGAAACAGAAATATATTATTAATAATTCAGAGGAAAAAATCAATCAATAGAAGACCTGCAAAAAATGGGGCAATAAAATTAAAAAATAAGAATGTTAAAATAGCTTTTAAAATATGCTCCATATGTTCAACAAGATAGAGGGAAATACAATGATGATGAGGAAAGAAATGGAAGATATTTAAAAATCCAAAGTAGGAAGACATTAATAGCAGATTAGACACTGCAGAAGATCAATGATGTTAAAGACATAGCATGGAAACATTTCAAAGTGATGTAAGAAAAAAAAATTAACACTTCAAGGATTAAAAAGCATATCAATTACATTATCAAGTAGCCTAACAAACATAATTAGAGGTCTAGAAAAAGGGGAAAGTATGGAAAAGATATTAATGCTGATAATTTTCTAAATTTGATATAAAATATAAATTTGCATGTCCAAGAAGTTCAGCAAATCCCAAGGGGTATTAACACAAAGAAAACTTCACCAAGGGACATCACAAATTGCTTAAGACCAGTAATGAAAAGAAAAATCTTAAAAACAGCCAGAGAAAAAGAAACATTTTATACAGAGAAGCATGGATAATAACAAACTAATGCAAGCCATAGGACAATGAAACAACAGTCTTAAAGTACTTAAGAAAAAAGTCCACCCACAATTCCTTACCAGCAAAAATATCTTTCAACAATGAAGGGGAAATTTTTCATACATACAAAGATAGTGAGATTAATCTCCAGCAGATATGCATGTCAAACACTATTAAAGGAAATTCCTAGTGTATCAGTTTGCTAAGACTGCCATAACAAAATATCATAGACTGAGTGGCTTAAACAATAGAATTTATTTTCTAACAGTTCTGGAGGCTGGAAGTCCGAGACCTAGCTGTCAGCAGGTTTGGTTTCTTCTAATACTTCTATCTTGGCTTCCAAAATGGCCACCTTCTTGCTGTGCCATCACACAGCTTTTTCTCTGTGTGCATACATCTCTGGTATTTCTGTTTCTATAAGGACACGAATCATATTAGATTAGGGCCTGCTCATTGACTTCATTTAAACTTAATTACCTCTTTGAAGGTCCTATCTCCAACTATAGTAATGACACAGGATCCTTTGGGTGCCACTTTGCCAGCCGGAAACCTCTGTGGCTGGTGGTGCTTCTGCTCAAGTTTCACTCATATCTGCTGGGCTTATTCCACCCACTCAGCCCGACAGCTGCGCTCAGCCCACATTACTAGCCTAGATCCCATGCCCACTTAGGGTGAGCCAGGCACAGAGCAGGGAGGGGCATGTGAGTGAGTGAGCGCAGGGTCTGGCCACAGCACACAGTCAAGAGTGCCAGCTACTGTGGTGAGGTGGGCAGCTCCATGTGCTGGCACAGGTTCAGGCTCTGTGTGAGGCTGCAGCTGGACCAGGAGTACCGCAAATGGCTTCTGCCTTAGGTGCTGGCATCTGGATGAGGGGAACATGGTAGTGCCCGAAAACTTGGAGATGCCAGCAACCATGGAGCCTCAGCATTTCACAGCTTGTTCATTTCTTCTGTCCTCAGTGTGGCAAATGGGGTGGGTGGGGGGTGTGTTTCATCTTGTTATTATTACAGCTGGTTTGGTCCCACTGGCCCAGGTCTCCTGGGCTGGCCCAGCCCTGTTGCCACTTCCTGTCATGTGGGGTGGCTGCCCGGCACTGTCAGAGAGCAGGCGGGGTACAGTGTTACAGTTCCTTTCCCATGTTCTGTTTGGCAGGTTCCGGGTTCTTGTCCCAAGAAGAATGAGGTTACATGGACAACCAGAGAGTAAGCAAGGCAGAGAAGAATTTTACTGAGTGACAGAACAGCTCTCACTCTACCTGAGGGCAAGTAGTCCCAACATGTGGCTGAGTCTGGGGTTTTTATGGACTCAGCATGGGGGAGTGCATGCTGATTGATCCATTGGTGGGCCTGGAAAAAGCACCATTCGGTTGGCTAAAAGGCATTGAGGAAGTTCTCAATCCAGGTTGCGGATACTACCTGGGACTGGCAGCCCAGTTTGCAGGCTTCAGGCTGTCTTCTGGCTGGAAGGTTGGGTTTCACCAGGGACCTGCGCCTGTCTACCTAGGAATTTGTCTGTTTCCTGCAACTATCAGTAACATTCTGATATGTACTGGGAGTTAGAACGTCAATATATACAACTGGGTGGGGGAGGGTAGTGAAGCAAAATTCAGTCCAAAGACTTAGGGAATAGGAAAATGTTACCAGAGTGAAATTGGGATCTAAACACACACACACACACACACACACACACACACACACACACACACACAATTAGCAATGGTAAAAATATAAATAAACATACAAGAGTTTTTCTTCTCATTATTTGATCTATGTAAAAAAATATTGATAGCTTAAAAATAACAATTTACTCTGTACTTTATAATATATATATAGAAGTAAAAAGTATTACAGTAGTACCATGAAGGGCAGAGGAGGAAAATGAAAATATACTGTTATGAGGTTCTTATGCTATATGCAAATTCATATAATATTATTTGAAAATAAATTGTAATAATATGAAATTGTTATATTGTAACCCATTGGCCAACTGAAAAATAAAAAAGATAAAGTGAATGAGCCATTTGTGATGATAAAATTGAATGACAAAATAGACCCAATCTAAAGAAGTAAAACAAAGATAAGAAATGAACAAAGAATAGATGAGACAAATAGAAAACAAATAGCAGGGTACTAGATGTAAATCTAATAACATCGATAATTACGTGAATTATAAATAGTCTAAACACTCCAAGTACAAGGCAGAAATTTTCAGATTGGATAAAAACAGACCCGTGTTGTTCACAAAATATATTCACTTAGAACATACAGACAAGTAGATTAACAGTAAAAAGGTGGCCAATGTATGTGCATATATATATGTATAAGCAAATACTAAAAAAGTTTTAAAAAGAAAACAACACGCTGGGAGACCTCTACCTCCAAATAAGATGAGTAACTTGGCCTGGATGTACTGTTATCACCTTTAACAATGGAAATAACAATGTTTTTCAGACATGGAGCGTCAAAATGTTCAGAATACTCATTCCTAACAATAGGGAAACAAATAAGGTAAGCCCCATGCTTATCCTAGTTTACTGCCTGGAGAAAATTTTCATGCCACGGAGGAGGGAGAATGAAACCAGGTACAGACTGCAGTCTCTTTGAATTGAAGCGATAAAGTTAGAATTCAGGCAGGGAGAGGAGGCAAGAAGTCTAGAACTCACCAGAAGGGATACTAGAGAGCAGATAGCTTCAGAAAGTGAGGGCTACAGAGACCTGCAAAGGAACACTGAGCCTTCGGTTGGGTTCTAACCGATGCACATGTGTGAAGAAATTACCCAAACCAGGTCATTTGTAATTAAGAATTCATCTGAAAATTTCTAGGGTAATCATTTCAAAAATGATATTAAAAAGGAGAAAATAAAGATACTTCAAAAATTAGTAATAAGATACACTGAGTAATACAAATGAAGGAAAGGAGAGTAAGGAAACAAAAATAGATGTGGTAATTAGATTAAAAACATAATGAGATAATCGACTTAAACCCAATTGTAATCAGTAATTCCTTGCATAGAAATAGAGAAAACACTTTTATTAAGACAAAACTTCATACTTCCAGAACACTTCCTTCTGACACACTAGATGTGTGGAGTTTTTGTCCCACACTGAAAATTCTCCAATACCAGCCGCACATCCTACAATTCAATTGAATTCTGGTACTAACCTGAGTTAGTGCAGACCCCGGAGGTTAAGGGCTCAGGCCCACAAGGTTGGCTCCCACCTCAGATGCCAATCTCAAGTGGTGGGTCTCCGGGCTCACCAAAACTTCTGTCTGACTTGGCTACAAACAGGAGGTTCCCATAACCCTCTCCTTGTGTTTGATCATTTTCCAGAAGAGGTTGCAGAACTTAGGCAAACACTTAAGTTTACCAGTTTACTATAAACGAGATTACAAAGGATACAGGTAAACAGTGAGATGAAGAGGTACATAGGGCAAGTTATGTGAGAAGAGGTGCAGAGCTTCTGTGTTTTCACCAGCCATGCCACCTTCCCAGCACCTTCACGTGTTCAGCAACCTGGAAGATTTTCAAACCTTGTTCTCGTGTGTGTGTGTGTGTGTGTGTGTGTGTGTGTGTGTGTGTGTGTGTTTTATGGAGGCTTCATTATAGAGTCATAATTGATTAAGTAACTGGCCATGGGGGATTAAGTCAATACTAGTCCCTCTCCCCTCCCTGGAGGTAGGGGATGGGGCTAAAAGTTCTAACCCTCTAATCACATAGGAGGGGTAACCAACACCATCCTGAGACTATCCAGGAGCGCCTGATACCAGGCATCTTATGAGCATACAAAAAGACACATCATTTTGGAGATTCCAAGCGTTTTAGGAACTCTGTGCCAGAAAACAAGCAGGGAGAAGGAGATGAGGGGACAGAGACTAAATATATATTTTTTTATTATGTCACAGTAACAATAGTTACCCTTTTATGAAATAAATCAATCATGTTCTTAAACTTATGGTTTATCCCCTAGAACAATACTAGGCACATAGTCAATTTTCAATAATTGTTTAAGTAAATAAATAAATGAATAGCTCAGATTTTTTGTAATGATTGTCACTCTTTTCTCATTTCCATAAAAAGCTAGCTGAATTTAGTTTGAGATTAAGGTTGTTGTATCAAACTGGGTGCTTACTTTTTAGCAGAACCTTTATTAGATTCAGGAAGGCAGCTGCTTATTTATTTATTGGTGGCTCAATTGTTTTTATCTTACCTAGGGGAAAAAGTAACAATATCTCAAATGAAAACATTATTACGGCCAGATATCTCAGGCTAGTCCAAAACTGTGTCTAATACATGCTATATTCAAAATCCATGTACTCAAGTGAAGTGTGTCTTTTCCTTCTTAGATTTCCAAAATGAGATCAACACAATTGCAATGGTGTACTTTAGGAAAATCGTCATATACAAACTGGCATTTACTCTTCTTTCATAATCTCTAAAGATAAGAGAACTATAAGTGGAACTGGAAGACATATTTTGTGTAAGACATAATTGGTTGTTTTGCCACACATTATCATTGCATGATGGCATTTTTAAAAATTTATCATTTGTTTTGCTTCTTTTTGGAATTTAAAATCCAGTGAGAGCAAGCCACGTTTTTTTGAAATAAATCTTATGTAGGAAAATGGAAGATAAGGCATTTATGAACATATACTATTTAAATCCCAATTATTAATTATTTAGAGAAGTTAAAAAAGAAAGTTCTAGGATATATCTAACACACTGACACCCTCTTCTTCATTCATCAAGGTGTTTCTAAACATGTTAGAAAAACAAGCCAAAAAATTACAA
Source organism: Homo sapiens (assembly GCF_000001405.40). Classification (NCBI taxonomy): domain Eukaryota; kingdom Metazoa; phylum Chordata; class Mammalia; order Primates; family Hominidae; genus Homo; species Homo sapiens. Next base: position 114,468,728 of record NC_000004.12, on the reverse strand, counting down.
AATAAAAACACGGCTTTTAAAGTTGGTCTGAATATGTAAAGTGAGATAAAAATTAAATTGGTTTTGGGATCTATGTTTCTCTCTATTGTAGTTTCAATACATCTGGGTAAAAGTTTCCTTTTCCAATGATTGAAATGGACTGTATCCATGAGACATTTACATCACTTAAGAAACTGGAATATTTTTAAGGCAATTGCTCACTTCTGTAACCTTGAAAATAATTATATAACAAAGAAAAAAACCAAATGCTGTGGATTTTTAAAAACACCCTTGTTCTTTTCCTTCTTGTTTATTAACCTTTGTTTTGATTTAGCAGTATTGATGTAAAGTAGCTGAACCAACCAGCTAATACCATAGAAACAATAAGAGGGAAGCCATTTGAGCTTGTTATTAATTGTTAATTGTCTTCTGATCCTTAAACTAGATACCTAAACTGAAGAGACAACTATCAGCAACAGAGCCAAATTATATGAACACTGTAGGTGCTCAAATGCAAGTGGATTTCTAAACATTTTATTGCTGTCCAAGTGTCACTGAATAATTGTATTTAATTTTTCTCATACTCTAAAAGGTGTAGTGTCAAAAATACTTGCCCCATTACAAGTTATCAGAACCTGGTATCTCAATGAATACAATTTTCCTGAGAGAATGTCTCAGAAAATTAACCAGAGATTGCATTTTATATACATGCAGGTGAGCATGGAGGGAAATATATTATTATATTTTTATATTTTTGATGATAAAATATTCGTAATATTTCATTTCAACTTTATTTTTGACCTTTGTATTTTATGTTTAAGGAAAAGAACTACTTACTCCTTTCTCTAAACACCCATTATTATCAAACCTGTGTGTATTTGCCTGCGTTCTTACTAAAATGTTTTCTTCCAATTGTTGCCTGAAAAATCCTATCTTTTCTTTTCTGTGAAGCCTGCCCTGATCTATACAGATAGATACTATCTTTCCCTTTTTTAAATTGTCATGATGTTTTTGCCACTGCTTTTATGGCATGAGTCTCATTCTACTGTATACTGTATTTGTATAGTGCATCCTTATTTCCTATATTAGGTTGAAAAAACTTTGAATTTAATGTCAGTGTCTACTTTTTAAAATTGTACTAAGCTATTCTTTATATATTTGGTAGTAAATAGGTAACATCAGAAAAAATGTTAAAATAGTAGAAATTTCTCTGATTGTATCTGATTGTTGCTTTTTAATTTTATAATCAGAGAAGGTGATTAGAAAGACCATTATGGAAACTGGAAACTTTGTGGGGAAAACCAGGAGGGTAAAATTACTTCAAACACATAAAACAAAGGTTATTGTATAACAAATGATGATTCATTAAACTCCACTACCTGCAGAAAGATGAATAATTTTCTTTAGAATCAAAGTTATTAATGCAGTTATTTATTAATGGTGAGAAATCCTAGTACAATTTATAGAAACTTTTAGTAAGTATAGAATTCAATTTTTCTGAAATATTTCAATAAAATTCTGTCTGAAGGGGAAACAATGTCCCTGTAAGGTGCATATTTAGTAGGCACAGCCACAGTCAACTTAATGTTCTTCATTTTATTGACTCCACACAGAGTCTCAGAACTGATATTGCTGAACTTGAAAAGTACAGTAAAATCCTATATAATTTGAAAGTCAGGACAATATAATGTCAATTTAGTTGTTTGGCTGTCTAAGGCTTAAGCAGAAAACCTTCATTATGGAAGGCTCTGTTACCTTTTTTCATAGCTGAAACTTTTTCTAAAACTTACTAGAGCATTTTCTATTTCACAGAATATACCACGTAGATGTAATTTCATTTTCACTGAAGCTTCATTTCACTGAAATTTCATTTCACTGAAGTGCCATTGTGTTTGCAAATTCTAATTTTAAAGTCCTATTATTTTAGGCATTGGACATTTGGGTATGATTCTGTTTAAATGATGGGGTTGGATACTTTAGGTTACATATTATGGAGCACGATCCTATTAACTATTTCATCATTGCCTGAGGTCATACATACACTCTTGTATAGAAACCCATATTTAAAAGTGAGAAAATTTCTGTAGATCAGTTAATGGTGTTTTCAGCTTTACCTTCCAGTTGGAGATATTATCCATATATAGGGAATTCTGGAGATACTATGGACCTGCTTGATTTGGCATGAGAGTGTGCAGTAGCACTAAATTTGCTGACAGGCTGTTTCTCTCACTCATCTGGTCTGAGGAGATACTGAGTCAACAGAATAGAACACCATCAGCTTTCCTACTGCAAAGCTCACGCCCTTCAGAGTGATACCTTTGTCCTCTGGGGCTTATTCAACTGCTTTAGGAAACTGATAGCCTGAGCAGTATAAATACAGCAGAGTCCAATATGCAGAGAAAATAAAAAGAGATAGAATTAACCCAAAACAGTGCTGCACATTTTTTTCATGCTTCATCAATTTAACTTTTATTTCTTGGTATAGTCATATAAAATTAGAACCTTCTTTGGAACATATTCATTTTATTTTGATTATAACACCTGACCCCTATCATTCTCATTCTCCCTCACAAAATCACAAAGGGTTTAACATTTTCTCTTCTTATTTGATATTTGCAACTCATAACATAAAATGAGGTGGGGAAAAATTAGAACTTTTTACAATTGGCAGCAAATCTAGCCTCTACTCACTCACTCATTCATTATTCATTCATTCATAACTGCTCTAAAGTACTTCAAAGATAGGAATCAAATAATCTAAATAAATGACCACACCGTGACCTTCCTCAGTCTAGTGTATTAGCATTCACTTACAATGTGCCATGCACTTTGTGTGTTTGAAAACTGTACTTAGAATAAGTGCATTTCAGAATAGTGTTGGACTAGAGTCTGTTTACCTATGAGGAGACTTAGGGAAATTACCTTATAAAGTTACTAGTATGTAACTAACAGAGGTAATACTTTTGGGGGTATCAGAAAATTGGGAAGTTAAATGATTTTAACATCCTTTCAGTGATAGATTTCTATGAATTCGTAGAAATAATATACTATAATTTTATTATCTGTAGTGGTCTAGTCACTCATTTTAATATTATTTTACCACCTGCTATGATATAGGCACTGTGTTTGTCAGGGAAACTATAGTTTTGAAAAACATGGCTCCTGTATGTTTGTTAAAGGACATAAACAAACAAGAAGTTACAAAGCAGTGTAGTAAGTACTCCTTAATACAGAGTATGGTTATGGGTGAAAGGTGACTAACAGGCATTCTAGGCATAGCAAAGGCCCCAAATATTTGAGGGCATTTTGGGTACAGAAGTAATATACTTGGAAAATGAGAAGTGAATGATATGTGAGGAAATGTAGTGAATGCATATAAATTATGCTTTCAAGAAATTTGATTTTTAAGCCAAAAAAAAAAAAAAAAAAACCAGAAAGAAGTTTGGGTATTATAATGATGTAAAGTGTCAAGGAGGGAATTTTTTTCCGCAAATGGAAGCGATAACCATATTCATATGCTATAAAGAAGCCAACACATGAAGAGATAATGGAGCAAAGGGATGCATTGGACTCAGATTATTGGCATTTCTTTTTCTGAAAGTGAAAATGAAATAATGATGATAAAGGGAGGACACTTCACACCGAAGTGTAAAGCATAGCACCAGATAATAAAAAGCCAGGTCAGCATAAGATGAGAGGGGCGGCAGATTGTCTTGGTACTTGTTGGAGTTGGAAGAAGGAGAGCAGAAATGGGAGAAGTAGCTGACCAATAATGCTTTCTGTTGATCTGGACTGAAGGACCTGAGTCAGTGAGCATGCACTTTTACTGCCAATAGCCACGTGGTTGTTACATTTTCTCTGGCATTGCTCAGCAGCAATGTGAGAGCTTATGAAGTGAGGGGGAAGACTGACAGTTTGGGAACTACCATAGAAAAGAAAGACACGGGCAGGGGCAGTGCCTCACACCTGTAATCCTAGCACTTTGGGAGGCCGAGGCAGGTGGATCATTTGAGGTCAGGAGTTTAAGACCAGCCTGGCCAAGATAGCAAAACCCTGTTTCTACTAAAAACACAAAAATTACCAGGGCGCAGTGGCAGACACCTGTAATCCTGGTACTCGGGAGGCTGAGGCAGGAGAATTGCTTGAACCTGAGAGGTGTAGATTGTAGTGAGCCGAGATCACGCCACTGCACTCCAGCCTGGATGACAGAGTGAGACTCCGTCTCAAAACAAAAACAAAAACAAATAAACAAAAGAAAGACATGGGATGAAGAATTTAGGAGAGAAAGCGTGGGAAGTTATGAACTTCAAAATGTCCAAAGCATAGAGAAGGTAGTCAATAAGGGGAAAGACAGGGCGACTAAAGATCTCAGTTCAGCAAGGATTCTGGGCAAAAAAGATTTAGAAAGCTAGAAGAGAAGGGGGTTAGATGAATGAAAGCATTGTGGAACAGAACCTTAAAATTTAGGGGTTGGGAGCTTTCATATGGTAACTTTCTGCGTGCTGAGATGGGAGTGTGTATTAAACCAAAATAGAGATGGAAGTGATTGAATTTGAAGATCACAATAAACATCGTGACTAGGTGGTTGGTTAGAATCACTGCTTGCATATGGAAATCTTCCAGAAGAATGAAGAAAAATAAGATGGAAAGAAGAATGTAAACCATGGGCCAAACTCCTCAATGAATATGAGGGAAGATTGAATTATCAGAAACATGTCAGAAAGGAGAAAATTTAGAGGGTACCAAATTTGGATGCTGTAAGTTTTAAAGGATGAAGGGGTTTTTCTTGCATAAATATAGAAAAATAATGATCTAGAACTGGCAAAGAGAAATTGAGATAATGTTGCAATTGCTTTAGGAATTTGGGGTGTGGGACAACGAATAAGCTTGTTCTTGAAAGGACTATTTGAAGGTATTTGGTATTTGAAGACCAGCCAGGTTTTAGTTGAGGCAAAGAGGAGAAATATAGAGAAGTTGTCATATGCTTCCATTTGGAATATTACAATATGTGCTTAGGATTCTAAAGAGAACCATTTTAAAAGCTTTCTGGTACCCTTTCAAGGTGATTCCTTAAGGACAGGAAGTGCAAGTGCACATGCTGTATCTTGTATCTCTGTATCTTGTGTCCACGTGGGCATCTGCATACTTTAAACTCCTTGAGATAAGCGACTGGTCTTGTGTGTACTTATATTTTCAGCATCTAGTTCACAACTTAGCAAATAGTAGGCTTTTAATAAGTACTTGTGCCTGCCATATTTTAGGTGATCTACACATATTTGTGGAAGGACTATATCATACGGTATATAGATAATATCTTCCTTGAGTTTGCTTCTTCTTGTTTTTTTTCCTTTGAAGAACAAATATAAGAGTGAAACAAAAACGCCCAAAGTGAATTGTTGGAGTTTTAGTCTTTTAGCCTATATATCTATAAAACCTTTTTGAGATATTCTCTTTAAATAATTAAATTACTATGAAACAGGACACTTTTTTCCTCATTTGAAATTGGTGGCCATTTTTCTGCCTTATGAGAACTTTCCATTTTTTTCCTGCTGTGGTATAATTCATGGATTTTTATTTTAGTGAAAAAAATCCAAAGTGTCAATTTTTTTTGTCTTGTTTAAGTAGGTTCCTGTCATCCAGTTTCACAGTGAGAACCTATATTTTCCTCTTATTTATTCTTACAGCTGTTTTTTGCTTTAGTGATGACAGGTAGATACGATTCAAAGTTAAGTCTAACTGTGCTGCAAAAGTAACTTTTAAAACTTGACTACAGAATCCTAGAAATCCTAAAAGTAAATGTCGGTATCAGTGAAAGTCCTAATACGGTCTATAGTTGGAAGTAAGGCATTTTGCAGGTTGATAATTTCATGTGCTCACAAAAACTCAGAAAACATTCTCTATTTGAATATCTGTTCTGTAACTTGGCTTAAAAATATGCTTCTTCTCTTTAACACATGTGTATACTTAACCTCACAAAGATTATCAATGATGTTAATTTTACACAAGTTTCTTAGCTAAATATTAGCTGTACTTATATGAATGCCTACTTCCTTAGATTCATATTTTGAGGTTAGGTATTAATCTTTATTTACTAATTCAACAAATATTCATGAGTGGCTACAATACACAAGGCTAGGACATTGAGATTACACTGACTTTAGATACAAAAATATTGGTTTATATATGAGACGTACCATTTGTTTATAAAACTGTAGAAAACCATAACAAAATTCGTCAATGATTTTTTTTTAATTACCACAAACAATTATGAGAACTACATATAAAAAACATTGTTTCTTTTGAGTGCTGACAAAGTTTCTTCTTGAGAAGATTCGTTCTTTTGGATTAATCCATTCTCTTCATTAAATCGTGAGTGGGTTTTAAATGGAAAAAAAAGGGGCAGTTTTTAAGTTTTTATACCAAGTGTTTACATTAAAATAACATAAGCTATTAATTGGCTATACATTGTTCTTTGTATCACTAATTTCAGGAACATGAAGATAATGAGTGAGGGTCACATTGTGCAACCTGTGGTAACATTTTAGGTAATTTATCAGTTATTATAAATTTATAAATTATGTAGTTAATTTATCAGTCTGGAAACTATAGGGAGGGGTAAAAAGAAAAAAATGCTTTGAAACAATTGCCTGGCTGGGCGCGGTGGCTCACGCCTGTAATCCCAGCACTTTGGGAGGCTGAGGTGGACAGATTGGTTGAGCCCAGGAATTTAAGAACAGCTTGGGCAATATGGCAAAACTCTATCTCTAATAAAAATACAAAAAATTAGACGGGCAGGGTGGTGCACATCTGTAGTCACAGCTACTCAGAATGCTGAGGTGGGTAGATCACCCAAGCCCAGGAGGTTAAGGTTAAGGGGAGCTACGATTGTGCCACTGTGCTCTAGCCAGCAGGGTGATAGAGTGAGACCCTGTCTCAAAAAAAAATCCAAAAACAAAAACAAGTGCCCCAGGCATGGGTGGGAGGAAGATGACTTCAGTCACATACTCTTGTCTCTCTCGGCCTAATACATTTTGCATACCTCATATTTTCAGACTTCTCTGAGCTATTCTCCTTTCCTACGGGCTATTTTCAATTGCCACCATTTGCCTAATTATATCTTAATACTACCACTAAAATATAACAATACCAGTTAAAATAACATACCAGTTAATATATTTTTATATATATAAACACAGGTGTCGTAGTCCATTTTCTGTTGCTATAACTGAATACTGCTGACTGGATATGTTACAAAGAATACAACTTTATTTAGCTCACAATTCTGGAGGTCAGGAAGTCCCAGGTTGACAGGTCTGCATCTGACAAGAGCCCTTTTGCTGCAGCAAGCCATAGCAGAGGGCATCATGTGGTGAGAGGGCAAGAGCATGTATGCCAGCTCAGGTCTGTCTTCCTTTACTTATAAAGCCACTGGTCCCATCACACCAATCACCTTATCTAATCCTGATTACCTCTTAAATATTCCACCACTTGTGAACATACAAATTTGAGGATTACATTTTTAGCACATGAAATTTGAGAGACACATTCAATCTGTAGCACCAGGGTTCTGACTTAGAGACTATGAGCAAGCAAACTTACCTGATTGTAAACATGCTGCTGATAGACTGAGCTATCATTTCCTTTATCTTGTGTGCAAACCCAATAAGTAGCAATAATAAGTATTACTTTTTTATTTAAAAAAATTAATTGACCACAATGCGTCAGGCAGTGTAGAAAACAGAAACATTTCCATTCTCCATCACATTCTAGTGTAGACAATAACCAAGATAAATAAGTAAATATGGTGGCAAATGCTAAAGAGAAAAATAGAGCAACAAGGGAGAATAGGGAGCTTAGCAGAGGGAGTTGGGGAATAGTAAAAGCTTAAATAGAGTGTTCAGTCAAGGTTTTCTTGAGCAGGTGACCCTAGAGACATGACTGAAGTAAGGGAGCTGAGCACGTGAACCTCTAAGTGAAGAGCCTTGTCGGCAAAAGGAATACCAAGAGCCAATGCTCTGTTGCAGGAGGGTGCATAAAGTAACAGTGAGGAGACCTGCATGGCTGAAGCACAGTGAACAAGAAAAAAAAAATAATAGCAGAAGATGTTGCAGAAATGAGAGGAGAGTCCTATCGGGTCTAATATGTCATGTTAAAGACTTCAGCATTTACTCCAACTGAAATGAGAAGACTTTATGGACTTTTTAGCATTAGAATGACATGATTGGACTTTTTTTCTTTTTTTACAGGATTCCTGGGTGCTTTCTTGAGAATAAACTACAGGGCTTGAAGTAGGGTGGAGGTCAAAGGTAGAAGGAAGAAGGACAATGAAAAGACTATTAGAATAATACAGTCATGAAATGGGTTGTTAGACACTGGTGGTAGTAGGTAAGGAGATGAGAAGTATTTGATTCACAGATATATTGTGATCATATAATCAATAGAATTTGCCTCGAATGTGGGGTGAAAAAGACAGAAAAATCAAAGATAAAACCAACCATTTTGGTCCTTGGCAACTGAAGGTATGGAGTTTCCATAAATTTTGATGAGGAAAACTACAGGAAAGACAGGTTTTCTGGGAGACATTAAGAACTAAGTGTGGTCATGGTCAACTTGAGATGCCCCGCCTTCTTTTTTTTTTTTTTCAGGGTCTGAAACTCCTGGGATCAAGGAATCCTCCCAAGATGTGCGATGCTTATTGAACATTCAAAGTAGGCAGATGACTCAAAATTCAGTGGAGAGATTTAAGGTAGAGACATTAACTTTAAAGCCTTCAGCATATACATGATATTCTGAATCATGAGACTGGATAAGATTACCAAAGGAATAAGTAAAAATAGAGAAAAGAGGCTTTTGACACTAAGATGCCTGAGAGAAAAGGAGAAAACAGCAAAGGGACTTACAAGGCATAACCAGGTGAATGTCGTGTCCTGGATGCCAAATGAAGCAAGTGTTAAAGGGAGGAGAAATCTAATTCTGTTAACTTGTATTGACAGGTCAAGAAAATTGAGCATTGAGAAATCACTGTAGGATTTAACAACGTGGAGGTTATCATAACCTTGCTAAGAATAGTTCTGAGGGAGAAGTGGGGACAAAAGAAATGAATAAAAAGTGTTTGAGAGAAAATAGGAGGAGGACATTGGGAAATATAGGAAGTATGCGGAACTCTTTCAAGGAGTTTTGCTCCAATTATTAGTAGAGAAATGGTGCACAAACTAGAAGAGAAAGTGGAAACAAAGGTTTTTGAGGAGTCTTTTTGCTCTTTGTTTTAAGATGGGAGAAATAACAGTATATTTGTATGCTGATGGTATGATTTCTTAGGAAAGGAAAAATCAAGGATGCAAGAGGGAAGGATAATTGCTGGAACAATTACCTTAAGTGGAGATCAGGGATGGGATGACCTTAAGCCAGATGCATGGAGAGTTCTTTCATGAGAGAAGCTGGAGTTTAGGAACACACACAGGTAGACAGGTAGATGTGGTGGGGATGGTAGAGGCTTTTCTGATAGCTTCCATTTTCTTCTTGATGTTGTTATTCACCTAGAATAAGACACAAATACCAAGACAAGGAAAATATAGATCTAAAACAGAGTAATAATAAACCCTTCCCAATAGGTTTACTTCACTTAATTCGCCACTTATCCTGACAGTTATTCTAATGATTCCAGTGCCTTTTGAGCAGCAAAGGAGATTTATCTCTCAGGATATTACCTAAATATTACTTCAGCATTCAGTTGCTATTGCAGAAAAACAACCAGAGCCTCTTACAAAAGAGAAAAGAAACTCTAGCATGGTGCCCTTTTAAGATAGGGCATGCATCAGCACAACTTCTCAGGAGTGTAGATACCCTATTAAGATGCTAATTAAGTGCTTGTCAGGGAGAATTATTTGCTCTTCCTCTCTCTTATCTGTTTTTCCCTGCATTTAAAATCTAGTCTCTGGGTTCCGAATTTCAATTCACAACAAAAATATTCTTGGGAAAATTTCTGGCACTTGCAGATAGTGCTTAAGTTGACATTTGGTAGAAATCTTTCCTGAGTACCATCAAAACTTGAGGCTTGTACTTAAAATGACTGACATGAATCACCCCAAGGAAGATTAATTTCAAAACAACATATGGCCCTATGGCATAAATGTTATGAAGACCCCAACCACATTATACACTACTGTAACGAAAGACAATGCATAGATTCTGAGGGGTTTATTTTTATGAGTAGTAGCAAAAGGCTAGTTGTTATGACCTGTAAACCTCCATCATAAACATTAGTACTAAATTTTAAGAATTGAGGTGAGTAGCTAGTGGGGGGAAGTGTAGTATAATAAATTATACATATGGATGACTATTGATTTGAATTTCTTTTTCTAACAAAGTTTTTATATATGTAAATAAAATAAGTGGTCAGTTGTATGGATGTTAATTAACTAGTTTACTATTTGGTACCTTTTGTTTATATGTATACAAAGAAATATACTCACATTTTAATTATGTTAACATTAAATCTTACTTTTTTTCCCTTAACACATACCTGTAAACCAAAAGTAAAAGTCTAAATTCCCCCAGCTGACCGAATGGACTCCACTCTCAGCCAAGGGGACCCAAAGGAACCTGAAAAACTACATCAGGCTATGATAGAAAGGAAGAGATAGGCCATGCCTCATTATACTTTTCTCCCTTTGGAGTTGAGGCACAATTGACCAGCATTAACATTAAAACCGAGATCATAATAAGAGTGACAAAACAGACTCTTTGTAACCATAAGATACCAAACTCCAGCCAGACTCTAGTATATCACATACTAGATATGTGATATACTAGATAATATCACATGACAGATAAATAAAGAAATCAAAATATTTTACCCCCAATTATGTCAGTTTTTCATATTTTAAAATGACCCTGCAAAGCAGTCTTTCATGGGGGAAAATTTGTATCTGTAAAGAATCTTTATTAACATAATTAGATCTTTCCCCCTTCCAGTCCCTCCCAACGCTGAAGACATTAACTAAAAGTCTAGCAACTTTTAAAAGTCTGAATAGGAAATATTTGCCAACTCTTGTCTCTAAGGGTAGGCCACCTATGAGACTCATCTACGTAATAAGAACCTTGGTCTCCACAATCCCTTGTCTTAACCAAGACACTCCTTTCTGTTGATTCCAGGTTTTTAGATAATAAGTTAGCTCTTTCAACCAACTGCCAATCAGAAAATCTTTAAATCCATCTATGAGCTATAACCCTCTCCGCGCCCCTGTTTTGAGTTGTCCCATCTTTCCAGGCCAAACCAATGTTTACCTCAAATGTATTAGTTGATGTCTTATGTCTCCCTAAAATGTATGAAATCAAGCTGTAACCCAATCACCTTGAGCACAGCTTCTCAGGACTTCTTGAGACTGTGCCGTGGGCTGTTGTTACTCATATCTGGCTCAGAATAAACTTTTAAAAATATTTTACAGGGTTGAGGGTTTTTTTTTTTTTTGTCAGTATAGCTACTATGGTTTGGGAGCATAATTCATAAGAGGAGGCCCTATGATAATAGAAGCCAGCCTGGTATATATGTAATGGAACACATGTAATGCACAAACTGAATTATACACATGGTTTACCAAAAGGTAAAAAATTTGAGAAAAGTACATACATTCATCTACTCATATGCAAAGTTTTCTATAATTAATTGTCTAACAAATTCTAAATCTTGATATAATTTTAATAGATGATAATGCTACTATTAAGATTATACAAACAGCTTTACTCTTTTTCAGTTTAGAACTTTACCATATATAATTTTAGGTTTGTGTGCCCAAATGAAAGTATATTCTAATCAAAGGTGATTATAAAAATAATGATAATTCTTGGCTGGGCATGGTGGCTCATGCCTGTAATCCCAGCACTTTGGGAAGCCGAGGCGGGCGGATCACGAGGTCAGGAGATGGAGACCATCCTGCTAACACGGTGAAACCCTGTCTCCACTAAAAATACAAAAAAATAGCTGGGAGTGGTGGCAGGCGCCTGTAGTCCCAGCTACTTGGAAGGCTGAGGCAGGAGAATGGCGTGAACCCGGGAGGCAGAGCTTGCAGTGAGCCGAAATCACGCCACTGCACTCCAGCCTGGGTGACAGAGCGAGACTCCGTCTCAAAAAAAAAAAAAATAATAATAACAATAATAATAATGATACTTCTTGAAATAAAGGGCTTGGATAATTATACTTTCTAACTTTTCCAGTTTAAGTAGGAAGAAAAAAGCATTATTCTCAATGAGTTACATTTTTGTAATGAAAATGCATCTGAGCTAATAAAGTTGTGTTGTTTTAATTTCAGATTTATAGTACAACCTCTCATAATTCAAAAATTTAAGATGTGATGGGTATATATATAACAGATGTGATTGATCAATGTTTAATAGCAGAATTATCCTTATATCTTACAGCATATTTAAACACTGCCTTTGTGACTGCTTCATAAATTATTTCAGGGTAATAGCTGGGACATTAATATGGTTAGCAACAAAAACTTATTCATTTAATATTAGTAGAATAAAAATTTATCCTGTTTAAGAATACTCTGTTCCAGAAAATTGACTCAACAGTTGTTCAACACTTTCCTATAACCAATAAAAGGTATACTCCATGAATTTGCGAAGCTGACCTATTGGGGGGTGGGGTGGGAACAATGTTATCTCTATTCTCTTACAAATTTTGTTCATTTACCAAACGTGGGTGGCTATAGTCTGTTATGCTCACTATGGAGAAAAGTAATCTAATGAGAGGCATGAATGATAAGAATTGCAGACAAATAGAAGCAAGAAAAGTAGAAAAAGAACCTGAAAATACTGAAATACTTGGTTTCAGTTCAATATAGACGCCCACTTGATTTTTACTTTGATTTCCATGAGTGATGCTTGAGTCTTTATTATAAATTACACTCCATACTCAAACTACTTTTTGCTGATATTTTGTGACACACAATCAAAAAAATTTTTAACAGACACATCATGATTAATTGCATCCAATAATATGGATAAACTCAAAGATCACTCCTGGTTACCAACGTGGGTCATTGGATAAATGGAAAGGCCATTCACTAAGATATTTCGTTAAAAAAAAAAAAGATAAAAGAATTCATAAAGCCAAAGAATCTTATAAACATCTCCTGCAGAATATTTATTCGACACATGTTTATTTACACACACGTATATACACACATATACATATATGTAAACACACAATCTTCAATTTTCATTATTCATAGATTCCATATCTGCAATTTTGCCTACTCACTAAAATTTACTTGTAACACCAAAATCAATACTTGTGACTCTTTTTTAAACATTTGTGGACATGCACAGAGCAAAGCAAATTTTGAGTTGCCCGATGTGCGGCTGAAATTGAACAAGGTGATGCTCTGCCTTTTTGTTTTAGCTCTCATCAGTATAAACTAATGCCCTCTTTTTCTCATTTCTGTGCTTTGGTTGTTGATGATTTCGCTTCTTTAATGGCCCTCAGTTGTAGTGTTGAAGTGCTGTCTAGTGTTTCCTAGGTGCAAGGAGGCTGTGACATAATTTAGGAAAAAAATGCATGTTAGATAAAGTTCATTCAGGCATGAGTTGAAATGCTGTTGGCCATGAGTTCAATGTTAATAAATTAATAATATATATATTTTAAAATCTGTCTTTAAACAGAAGAATACATAAAATAGAGTTACGTACTGACTAAGTGATAAAAATGTGACCATAGGTTCATAGGAACTTAACCCTGTATTTCCCTTAGGAGTAGAGGCTCAGTGTGTGTTAATCCAGTGTTTGTAGTATTTTTATAGAACATTAGTATCACAAATAATAAGAGTAGACTTTTATATATTCTATTTTACAGTATAACATAATATACTAATTTAATAAAAAACTATAAAAATTACAATAATTATCTTTAAACATATTTTCAAATTTCATAAATCAGAGTTTTATTCATTAAGACATATCAGCTATAAATTAGCAAGTTCCGCTTTATTGCCAAAGAACTCATCTTTTGATTTTTGAAGTTCAAAACATTTATCAGTTGAATCACAAGGAAGATGCTTTAGAATATTAGAATAAGAAAGGAGAATGAGGTCTAAATTCATTTTGGTGTGTTTTATCATTCAAGATACTAAGTAAACCCCTAAAAAATTTCATTTTCTGGCAGTTTTGTCAGAGAAGTGTGAACCAGAGCAACTTCATCTTAAATAGGAGCTGGGTAAAATGAGGCTGAGATGTATTGGGCTGCATTCCCAGATGGTTAAAGCATTCTAAGTCACCGGATGAAATAGGAGGTCAGCACAAGATACAGGTCATAAAGACCTTGCTGATAAAATAGGTTGCAATAAAGAAGCTGGCCAAAACCCACCAAAACCAAGATGGCCATGGGAGTGACCTCTGGTCATCCTCACTGCTACACTCCCACCAGGACCACAACAGTGTATAAATGCCATGGCAATGTTAGGAAGTTACCCTATATGGTCTAAAAATGGGAGGTATGAATAATCCACCCCTTGTTTAGCATATCATCAAGAAATAACCATAAAAATGGGCAACCAGCAGCCCTTGGGGCTGCTCTGTCTGTGGAGTAGCCATTCTTTTATTCCTTTCTTTTTTTTTCCTTTACTTTCTTAATAAATTTGCTTTCACTTTACTCTGTGGACTCACCCTGAATTCTTTTTTGTGCGAGATCCAAGAACCCTCTCTTGCGGTCTGGACTGGGGCTTCTTTCCTGTAACACTTTTACATAGTTAACAATGAAGATTATACATATGGTACTATTGTTTCTTCCTTTGTGTCCACATGTACTCAGTGTTTAGCTCCCACTGATTATAGAACATGGGGTATTTGGTTTTCTTTTCCTGCATTAATTTGCTTAGGAAAATGGCCTCCAGTGGCATTCATAGTGCTTCAAAGAATACAATTTCTTTCTTATTTATTGCTGCCTAGTATTCCATTATATATGAATAAATGTGAGAGATATATATATCACATTTTCTTTACCCAGTCCACTATTGATGGGGATTTATGTTGATTTTATGTCTTTGTTGTTGTAAATAATGCTGCAATGAACATGCAAGTGCATGTGTCTTTATGGTTGAACAATTTGTATCCCTTTGGGTATACATTCAGTAATGGGATTGCTGTGTCAAATGGTAGTTGTGTTTTGAGTTCTTTGAGAAATCTCCAAACTGGTTTCTACAGTGGCTAAACTAATTTACATTCCCATCAGCAGTCTATAAGTGGTCCCTTTTCTCTGCAACCTTGCCAGCCTGTTATTTTTTTACTTTTTAATAATAGCCATTATAACTGATGTGAAATGGCATCTAATTATAGTTTTGATTTGCATTTTCTAATGGTTAGGGATGTTGTGCATTTCTTCGTATGCTTATTGGCTGCATGAATGTCTGTTCGTGTTCCTTGCTCATTTTTTAATAGGGTTGTGTTTTGCTTGTTGATTTAAGTTCCTTACAGATTCTGGATATTACACCTTTGTGGAATGTGTACTTTGCACATATTTTCTCCCATAATATAGGCTTTCTATTTACTAGCCAATTGCTTCTTTCAGTGTTCAGAAGCTCTTTAATTAGGTTTCACTTGTCAATTTTGTTTTTGTTGCAATTGCTTTTGGAGTCTTTGTCATGAAATCTTTGCCAGGGCCAAAGTCAAGGATGGTATTTCCTAGTTTTTTTCAGGGATTTATAATTTTAGGTTTTACATTTAAATCTTTAATCCATCTTGACTTTCTTAACATGGTATAAGGAAGGACTCCAGTTTCAATCTTCTGCATATGGCTAGCCAGTTATCACAGCACCCTTTATTGAATACGGAGTCTTTTCTTCATTGTTTTTCATTGTTGAATTTGTCAAAGATCAGATGGCTGTAGGTGGGTGGCTTTATTTCTGCATTCTTAATTCTCTGTGTGCCTGTTTTTGTACCAGTGCCATGCTGTTTTGGTTACTGTAGCATTCTAATATAGTTTGAAGTAGGGTAGTGTGATGCCTCTGTCTTTATTCTTTTTGCTTAGGGTGCTTTGGCTATCTGGGCTCTTTCCTTGGTTCCATATGAAATTTTAGAATAAATTTTTTCTAATTCTATGAAAAATGTCATTGGCTGTTTGATAAGAATACCATTCAATCTGTAAATTGCCTTGATCAGTATGAACATTTTAAGAATATTGATTCTTCCTATTCGTGAGCATGGAATGTTTTTCTATATGTGTCATCCCTGATTTCTTTGAGCAGTGTTTTGAAATTCTCATTGTAGTGATCTTTTACCTCTCTGGTTACGTGTATTCATAGGTATTTTATCCTTTTTGTGACTATCATAACTGGGATTGCATTCTTGATTTGGCTTTCAACTTGGACACATTGGTATATAGAAGTGCTACTGACTTTTTGTACATTGACTTTGTATCCTGAAACTTCGCTGAAATTGTTTATCAGAGGTATGGGCCTTCGGGCAGAGACTATGGGGTTATCTAGGTATAGAATTATATCCTCTGCAAACAAGGCTAGTTTGACTTTCTCTCTTTCTATTTGGATGCCTTTTATTTCTTTCTCTTCTTACCTGATTGCTCTGGCTAGGATTTCCAGTAATATATTGAATAGGAGTGGTGAGTGGGCATCCTCGTCTTGTTCTAGTTTTCAAGGGGATTGCTTCCAACTTTTGCCCATTCACTCTGATATTGGCTGTGGTTGTTTTGTTTTATTTTTATTGATGGCTCCTATTATTTTGATGTTCCTTCAATGCCTAGTTTGTTGAGGGTTTTCAATATGAAGGGATGTTGAATTTTATCAAAAGCTTTATCTGCGTCTATTGAGATCATCATGTTGTTTTGATTTTAGTTTCATTTACGTGATGAATTACATTTATTGATTTGCATATGTTGAATCAATCTTGCATCCAAGGGACAAAGCTTCCTTGATCATGGTGAATTATTTGGATGTGCTTCTGGTTTTGGTTTTCAATATTTCGTTGAGGAATTTTGCATCTATGTTCATCAAGGATATTGGCCTGGATTTTTCTTTTTCCATTATTTCCTATTTCCAGGTTTTAGTATCAGAACAATGCAGGCCTCATAGAATGAGTTAGAGAATAGTTCCTTCTCCTCAATGTTTTAAAATAATTTTAGAGGATTGATACCAGGTTTTCTTTTGTTTGTGGTAGAATTCAGCTATGAAGCTGTCTGGATAGGGCATTTCTTGTTTGGTGGAGTTTTTTCATTATGAATTCAATTTTGGATCTCATATTGGTCTGTTCAGAATTTCAATTTCTTTCTGGTTCAGTCTTGGAAGGTTGTATGTTTCCTGAAATTTATCCATTTCTTCCAGGTTTTCTAGTGTGTTTGCAAAGATGTGTTCATAATAGTCTCTGAGGGCTTTTTGTATTTCTGTGTGGTTGGTGGTAACACACCTTTGTCATTTCTGATTGTGTTTATTTGGATCTTCTGTTTTTTTTGTTAGTCTAGCTAGTGATCTAGCAATCTTATTTATTCTTTCAAATAATTAGCTTTTGATTTCATTAATCATTTGTGTAATTTTTTGTGTCTCCATTTAGTTCAGTTTGACTGATTTGGGTTGTTTATTTTCTTCTGCTAGCTTTGGTTTTGGTTTGCTCTTGTTTTTCTAGTTTCTGTAATTGTAATGTTAGTTTGTTAATTTGAGATCTTTCTAACTTTCTGATTTGGGCATGTAATGCTATGAACTTTCCCCTTAAGACTGCCTGAGTTTTGTCCCAGAGTTTCTGGTATAGTGTATCTTCATTTTCATTAGTTTCAAAGATTTTGTTTTGATTTCTCCCTTCATTTTATTGCTTACCCAAAAGTCACTCAGGTTCCAGTTGTTTAATTTCCATGTAATTGTATGGTTTTGAGAAATCTTGGTATTGATTTCTATTTGTATTGCACTCTGGCCTGATAGTGTGGTTGGTTAGATTTTGTTTTGTTATGAATTTTTTGAAAAAATGCTTTACGGTAGAGTGTGTTCTCAATTTTAGAGTATGTGCCATGTGCAGATGAGAAAATGTGTATTCTGTCTTGTTGGGTGGAGTGTTCTATAGATGTCTGTTAGGTCCATTTGTTCCATTGTCAAGTTTAGGTCGTTAATATCTTTGTTAGTTTTCTTCCTCAATGATCTGTCTTACGCTGTCAGTGGGGTTTGAAGCCTCCCACTATTATTGTGTGGTTATCTAGGTCTCTTCCTAGGTCTCTAAGAACTTGTGTTATGAATGTGAGTGCTCCAGTATTGGGTGCATATATATTTAGGATAATTAGGTCTTCTTGTTGAATTGAACCCTTCATCATTATGTAATTTCTCTCTTTGTTATTTTTGGACATTGTTGGTTTAAAAAGTCTATTTTGTCTGACATAAAAAATTTGAAAAGTCTAATTTGTCTGAAATAAAAGAACAGAGCAACTTTTGAATTTTTTTTTTTTTTTTTGCTTTCCATTTGATTGATAGATCTTTCTCCATCCCTTTACTTTGAACCTATGAATGTCATTGCATGTGAGATGGGTCTCTTGAAGACAGCAAATAGATGTGTCTTGCCTCTTTATCCAACTTTACACTCTTTGCCTTTTAAGTGGGTGTTTAGACCATTAATGCTCAAGATTAATATTGATATGTGTGGATTTGGTCCTGTCATCACGTTAGCTGATTGTTACATATACTTGATTGTGTAGTTGCTTTATAGTATCAATGGTTTATGTACATAAGTGTGTTTTTGTATTGACCAGTAATGGTCTTTAGTTTCCATGTTTAGCACTCCCATAAGGACTTCTTGTAAGGCAAGTCTGTTGATAACAGATTGCCTTAGCATCTGCTTGTCTGAAAAGGATTTTATTTTCCCTTTGCTTTTGAAGCTTCATTTGGCTGGATATGAAATTCTTGGTTGGAGATTCTTTAAAGATGCTGAACATAGGGCCCCAATCTCTTCTGGCATGTCAAGTTTCTGCTGAAAGATCTGCTGTTTATTTGACAGGTTTCCCTTGTAGGTGACCTACCCCTTCTCTCTAGTTGCCTTTAATTTTTTTTTCTACTGCATTGACCTTGGAGAATATGATGACTGTGTATCTTGGAGATGGTCATCTTGTATAATATCTCATCACAGTTCTCTGAATTTCCTGAATTTTAATGTTGACCCATCTAGCAAAGTTGGGGACATTTTCGTAGACAAAAGCATATCTTGAAATATATTTTCCAAATTGCTTGCTCTTTCTCCCTCTCTTTTAGGGATGCCAAGTAGCTGTATGTTTGGTCTCTTTACATAATCCCATATTTCTTGGAGATTTTGTTCATTTAAACAATTTTTTTTTCTTTAGTTTTTGTCTGACTTAGGTGATTCAAAGAACCAATCTTTTGGCTCTCAGATTCTTTCCTCAGCTTGGTATATTCTGCTCTTAATACTTTTAATTGTATTATGAACTTATTGTAGTGCATTTTTCAGCTTTACCCAATCCATTTGGTTCTATCTTAAAATGGCTATTTGTCTTTCAGCTTTTGAATTATTTTACTGGATTTCTTAGATTGAGTTTCAATTGTCTCCTGAATCTTGATGATCTTCCTTCTCATCTAGCTTCTTAATTCTATGTCTGTCATTTCAGTCTGGTTAAGAACCATTGCTGGGGAGCTAGAGCTGTCATTTGGAGGTAAGAAGACATCCTAACTTTTAGAGTAGCCAAAATCCTTGCACTGTTTCTTTCTCATCTGTGTAGGCTGATGTTCCTGTAATCTTTGAAGTTGCTCTCCTTCTGATGGGGCTTTTTGCTTTTATATTCTTTGATGTCCTTCAGGGTTTCACTGTGGTATAAGTTTGTTTTAGTTTACTGGCTTTGTTTCTGGATGATTTCAGGGGCCAAGGCTTAGCTCAGCACTCCTGGCATGTGTTCTCTAACACTGGGGGGCTGGGACGAGGCCCATGGGTTTGTTCTCTGGCCCCTCAAGGTTAAACACCTGCTGCACTGGAGGGACCATGCTGTTCCAAGGCTGTTGGCAACAATACTTCAGTGAGGAATGCTAGCAAAAGTGCTTAATCGGGGCCATAGTGGCAGGGTCCACATGTGTGCTTGCAAAGCAGTGGGTGGAGGTTGTGGGAGAGTGTGAACTGGCAAAGCAGTTTGGGGAGGCCACAAGTGTGTGCACACTGTTGGGGGCCTGTATGCAGAAGGTCTCTGATGGTTAGGCAGGATCTGCCCATAAAAGAGCCACAGCTCATGGCCCATGGCCTCTGGGAAGTGCCCTGGTTGGGCATCTGAGGCTATGCTGTAAGAGAGTTCAGCTAAGCAGGGACCCTGGATAAGGCACTCAGATCAGACTGGTCAAGTCCCATGGGCAAGATAGCCCTTATTCTAGGGTGGAGCTAGGGTGGAGCACAGTAGCATAACCTTGGCTCACTATTGTTTCCATTTCCTGGGCTCCAGCAATCCTCCTGACTCTCAGCCTTTTATTCCTCCCTGTAAGTGATAGCCCTTATTCTAGGGTGGAGCTAGGGTGGAGCACAGTAGCATAACCTTGGCTCACTATTGTTTCCATTTCCTGGGCTCCAGCAATCCTCCTGACTCTCAGCCTTTTATTCCTCCCTGTAAGTGATAGCCCTTATTCTAGGGTGGAGCTAGGGTGGAGCACAGTAGCATAACCTTGGCTCACTATTGTTTCCATTTCCTGGGCTCCAGCAATCCTCCTGACTCTCAGCCTTTTATTCCTCCCTGTAAGTGAGACAGAAAGGCTATAGGGAGCTGGAGGTGGGTAATTTACCTTGCCCCCAAGTCCAATAAGGCTCTAGTGAAGCTTTTTTTCCTTTGCTGGAAAGTTTTTTTTTTTTCCCTTTCCTTTCATTTTTTTCCCTTTGCTGGTTTATTCCTTTGGAAGGCCTTTCTTGTGAGCCTTCCTTCCTTCTTTCAAAATGCTTCTTTCCCCCTCCTTCTGGCCAAACACAAAGTTTCTTATTCTTCTTACCTCTGATCTTTACCATAGAAACTTGATGCAGTTCCTGAAGGGAAAATCCACAAAGGTGTGAGATTCCATCATAAATTGGGGCATCAGGAGTTTTTAACTATTAAGCTAGTCCACACCATTAACCCCCAGCAGTGAGCTGAAGTTACCATTTAAGTGTTTCTACCAGTTACTGGCCCCCCAGCTTCTGCCACAAGTGAGCTGATCAGTATTGTCTGTATTTGCCTGTCTCTAGTATTCCAGGTGGTGGAAGGGTCATTAAGGAAATGAAGGGCCATTTCCTTAAACACGTCTTATGATCTCAATTCTCTGAGATCTAAGAAAAGTTAATTTTCAGTTTGTTCAGCTTTTTCTTGTTTTGAGGAAGATATTAATAACTTTCAAGCATTTTACATGTCAATGGGAAAACCAGTAGTTCCTTTGACTAATATCATTTTTTGACACAGTTTAGTCTAAAATGTTTGCAATTCATTTATTACAACTTAATAGATTTTTCTCCAAAATTATACTTATGTTATTGATGTAACTACAATTTATCTATCTCATATTTCTTAACAAGAAAACTGTCTTTTTGTATATAATCTGTCATTAGTAGCTCTTATAAACGCAAAAATGTATTTATTATTTTACATACATAATAAATATTTATTTTACATACATAATATTTATTATTTTGCATACATAATAGATATTATTTTACATACATAATATTTATTTTTTCATACATAATATTTACTATAATTATAATTATTTTATGTTAATATGAACATATCAGATACAATTTCTGAAAACTGCTTTTATTTCTATTTCTATTTCTTTCTTTCTTTCTTTTTTTTTTTTTTTTTGAGGCAGAGTCTTGCTGTGTCTCCCAGGCTAGAGTGTAGTGGCATGATCTCGGCTCACTGCAACCTCCACCTCCCCGGTTCAAGTGATTCTCCTGCCTCAGCCTCCAGAGTAGCTGGGATTACAGATGCCTGCCACTACGCCTGGCTAAATTTTGTATTTTTAGTAGAGACAGGGTTTCACTATGTTGGCAAGGCTGGTCTTGAACTCCTGACCTCAGGTGATCCACCTGCCTCAGCCTCCCAAAGTGTTGGGATTACAGACATGAGCCACCGCGCCTGGCCAAAAACTGTTTCTATTTATGCTATTATTTGCTAGAGAAAACTACCCTAAGGAATTATGCCTTTTTATATGCAATTCTGACTAAGACCTATAGTTCAATGTCCCAAGTTTTTCAGACGAGGATAACTTAAGTAGCATTTATTAAATTGGTAGAAATAAAAGTAATGCTTAGGAGCTGAACTCCTGAGCTGAATTACCAAAGGAGGCCTCCTATCGTCCCAGAGATAATGTCTCTTTACCAGAAAATTATTGAAGGAATTGCTGACAATGTATGGGTGCTCAGAAGCCACCCTATGTACCTGAAAGAATCTTTTTATAATACAGAGCAAGAGCCTTTATTTGACAGAGGTAAATAAAGTAAATGTAAAATAAGCTTCTGTAGTATCCTTTTTTTCTCTCTCTCTTTTTTTTAGACGGAGTCTCGCTCTGTCATCCAGGCTGGAGTGCAACGGCATAATCTCGGCTCACTGCAACCTCCGCCTCCTAGGTTCAAGCCATTCTCCTGCCTCAGCCTCCCCAGTAGCTGGGATTACAGGCATGCACCACCATGCCCAGCTAATTTTTGTATTTTTAGTAGAGACGGGGTTTTACCATGTTGGCCAGGCTGGTCTCGAACTCCTGACCTCATGATCTGCCCGCACGGCCTCCCAAAGTGCTGGGATTACAGGCGTGAGCCACAGTGCCTGGCCTCTGCTGTAGTATTCTAAGGGGACAAATGACCACAACACACAAGCCCTGTAAGATTCCAGACTCTCCTGTGTCACTGTGTCTGTTTTCCTCTGTATCACTTTAGGGTATTTTGGAAAATGAGTGAACACCTTGGTACTATGCAGGAGGCATAATTTCATAAAATGAGTGATGAATTTACAAATCATTTTTAAAGACTGTTACAAAATTTTTATGTTACCATTAAGTACCAAAAATGACAATTGCATTAAGGAGGCAAAAATGATTGATAATATTTCAAAAATTTGAAGTGTGAGCTGTGACATTTGTCTTCAAATAATGAGCAAAGAAGAATATATATGAAATAGCCAAGCTCAACTGTCAGATTGTGAAAAGCATGAGCAATAGAAAGGAAAAAATATATAGCCTACATTGCTGTCTTACACAAATGAGTTAAACATGTGCACAGGACAAACTTAATCAAGAATATGTCACATATTACTCTATACTTGCTGCCCCCATGGTTTTTGATGTGTGTGAAAAATGACTTGTCTGTCGCAGTAAAATATAACTTGTTAAAAGACCCTCTGAGCATGTCAGGACTGTGTTTCAGCAATTTCAATCTATTCATCTGGCTCATCTTTTGCACAGCTTTCACTTCATATGAGGGAATTCTGCACCAAATCTAAAGATTTCTTTAAAAGTACATTCAATTTTTGTTATGAATTCTTGCTGCTTGAATCATGAATTTAGAGAGTATTCTGATACATTTAATTGATGTTGATTCTTTTAAGTCTGATGCAAGGTTTCCTTAGATGTCTTGTATTTTAAGTTATCTTCTTAGAGTTGCTTACTGTTAATTATTTTAACTAAAATTTATTATTAAATGAACTTTAATGTGGTACAAACATCTTTGTTATATATTTAAACAAACAATGGCTGAGTTGACCAAGTGACATAAATGTGAGATTAAAAAATTGATATTTATTGATTGCAAGCTGTCTGTTCTGAGCTAAATACTTAATATTTAATTTAGCTCATTTAATTAAGGGTCATTTCCTCAAAAATGCAAAGGCAGTAGCAATGCAGGGCATGTAAAAATATCCTGCAGGCTTCATCCCATGTCCTGTTTTCTCTCATATAGCCAAGACAGTGAAGTATTCCTTCATATATTTGAGGATATATATTTCTCACAATCATTATTATTAGATATTTCTAAGCTTAGCCTCATAATTCTTTGTTCTCCTACTGGTTTAGGGTAATCCTAAGAATAATTTAAATGGAATCAAAAGGAGGTTATTGGCATCTAACCATACATTCTTCAGACACCCACAATAGATAACATTAATAACTTCACCTAAGTAAATGGCAAGATTTATAAAATGCTGGCTATTACCACAGCATAAATTGTACACTTCTCTAAATCTGTACTTTCTAGCCATTGCTTTTTAAAAAACCACATTCTAGGATGGTTTCATTTTTAAAGTCATTTTTTCAAGCTCAAACTTTAAAAGAAAAAAAGGACTCATTTCAATATATTTTTCTTGGCAGAGATGAAAAGGGCATTGCCCCCAACAATAAATTCCAGCCAAGAAAAAATTTGCAGCTTGATAGATATCCCATTATTTTTAAGGAACTATGTGCGTCATGCTAGAAGAAACTTTTTTCCCTTAAAATTATTTGAGAACACAAAAGCCATTTTTAAAGCTATAGTTTTCATATTTGTACAATTTACTTAATCCTCTCCTTGCCCTAATTACAAAATTTAAATGAAATTATCCAAATAAAAAATTTGCTTCATTCAATAAAAGCAATTAATCAGGGTTAGGTCTAGCTGGACATATTTGCACAGTATGTACATCCTGACTTGGAAGTTTTGCATATTCTTCCAGTGTAGCTCTGAACTTCTCCGGAACCAGGACCCACTGAAGACACTGGCTTCCAGGCCATTGAGCAGAAAAGGATCATTTAAGGTCTTACTTCAGTGTGCTTATTATAAGGTGGTAGAGGAGGTGCTTTCAGCCTCATTTGCCTCTTAATATATTCAATTCTATCAGTAAAAGACCTAACCTTTTGGTAGGGAAAAATACTATTATGGAAACTTCATTAACAAGAGGGCCTATAGGCTCTGCAATAGAAACTTTAGACATTTTTAGCTATTATCTCCAGACTCAAAGTTTATAAATGATATCTTATCCCAGAAGGCTTTGGAGTCTTCCTTACCCTTGTATAATTATACACAAATATTACATGCTTACATAATATTGGAGCCTTTCAAGTTACATAGATACTGAGGCTACCATTCTTCAATACACATTATGGACTGACTGTTTGTGTCCTGTCACCCCCAAATTTGTATGTTAAAACCCTAACCCCCAAGGCGATGAATTTAAAGATGGGACCATTGTGAAATAATTACATTTAAATGTCATGAGGATGGGACCCTTGTAATAGAATTTATTAAAAAGATGAATTGGCAGGCTATTAGGCTGAGAAATCTGTAGCACCTTGGTTTCTTGTGCAAGCAAACCAAAACCCAACTCAATGTCAACAGTAAAATAAAACTTAACCTTAATGAATCAGAAAGCACCAAACTAACCTCTAACTAGGAACTTTCTGCTTTAGCCAATCAAATAGACTTTCTTTGTCTTGCCTCCATGAACGCCTTAGAAAAGTTTTCTCCTTGCTCCCCTCAGTGGAGCACTGAAACATCTGCTGACTGGTTATGCCTGATTTGTGAATTGTTGAATGCTCAAATAAATTCATTAACAATTTAATGTGCCTACGTTTATCTTTTAACAGAGTAGTATCC
The DNA here is from genome assembly GCF_000001405.40 of Homo sapiens. NCBI lineage: Eukaryota > Metazoa > Chordata > Mammalia > Primates > Hominidae > Homo > Homo sapiens. The sequence continues at coordinate 114,443,195 of NC_000004.12, read as the reverse complement.
TGAGAAGAAGAGGAAGCAACCAGAGTTCTCCCTCTGCCATGTGAGAAGACAGTAGAATGTGGCTGTCTGTAGCCAGAAAGAGAGACTTATCGAGAACTAAATTGGCTGGCACCTTATTCTTGGACTTCCCAGCCTTCAGATCTGTGAGAAATAAACATCTGTTGTTGAAGTCACCCAGTCTATGGTGTTTCGTTATAGTAACTGGAGAAGTCTAAGAGAATACAGCAAAATGGTTTGAATATGTTTTAATTCTACAATTAAAATGTTGGAAGAAAAGAAGTGTGGTATAATTCACATTTAAAAAATTATATTCAATTTATTTTTTGGAAAGTATATTTATGTTTATCTTTCAGACTCTGGTAATGACTGCCAGGTCTCAGTCTTCAGTTTGAAGTTCTCACTGAGCTTCACACCTTTGTCCCTGTCTGTTGTATTTACTTCTTTGGATAAAACGTCCCCATTATGTATGGTAGGTTAAGAAAAAAAAAATCCCTTCTTCATTTCTTTTCACAGGCATTACTGTCCACCAGCCATCTAGGCTTGAGAACTTGGAGACCTCCATGGAAAAGTCTTGCTCCCTAAACTTCTTTACTAAACATCCAAGATCCCCTCTTTTCTATATGCCTAAATTATAAAATTTCTAGCACAGAACTTTTTATTTATAAACAATTCTACATTTTAAGCATTTATTCATATGTGTCTTATTTGTTTCTTTAATTTATTATAAATTTGATGGCATGGAACCCAAATTTGTCTTCTATATCTCTCCTAACATTTAACATAGAGCTAGGTAACTAATGATGCTTAGCTAATTCTTTTCTATGATTATGACTGTCAGCTTCAAATGTATCTTTTTCAGATGTGGGTTTCTAGTCAGACCAGCAAGTTAAAAACAATGTTTTAGGGGACTTTAATATATTATTAAACAACTACTTAAAATCATTTAACAGTTTTAATGACATTAGTATATTTCTCCTAAACTCTTAGCAAAGGAACTCTCATTTTGTGGAATAGAAATGTTCATATTAAATTGATAGAAGGCAATGATTCTTTGTCATTATGCCTCTGTCAAATATCTATGATTGTCCTCACCATATTTATTCTTTAAATATTTTACTCTTTTTGGATTTAAGATATTGCTTAGAGATTGAAAAGAGTGGAAGCAGGAATTAAATTATGATACCAGTAATGAAAACCTGAACTTGGAAATTAAACAAGTACAGATGGTACTGGTAAAGATGCATAAAACTATGTTCAAATATATGTGTACCCTTCCAGCTATTTTAGGCAGGTAGATGAGGTGCTTACAGAATTACAGAGAAGACAACTCTCCTCGATCATAAATTAGTTTGTCATATTTTAGTCTAGAAAAAAATTTAAAAGATAGCGCTTATGTAATTTAAATTCCTAGAATCAGTAACCTAGAAATTATACAAAAATGTAACATATCAGACTCAGAAGAGAATTTTGTTAATAAAATTCCTATAATTTAAAAAAACAAAATTCTAGGTATTTTACAGACACTTTTCTTGCTTAACACAATCAATTTAGACACTTAAATATTTCCTTTTATTTAAAAGAAAACTGCAAACTGAGAGTGATTGTTTTGCCCAAGAACACACAGAATTACTAAGGAGCCAAACGGGAATTTAAATAGTTTTTTGAGTCCATATACTTTCCTTTATCCAAAGCATCTCACCATCTAAATTAAATTTCGTAGTAAAAAATAGTTGAATTTTATTCAAATAAATCATTTTATTCAACACGTCATGAGTGCTTACTAAGCCTTAGAAACTTTTTCTACTAGGAAAAAAACACGAAATCTCTATCCACTACAGATTCAAATAAATCTCTTAAAATGTTCAAACATTGTATGCATTTCTTAGATATTTTGCCACCACTTTACAGACTTGTCAAAATTTGTCTAGGATTTCTTCCCCAGCTAAATGGATGAAAAAATCATGATTAGAAAAGTAATTCCCTAGGAAAAATCACAATAAGAACCAATCCCTCTGAATCTCCACCTCATCTGCCGCATTAAAAGTTCAGATTTAAGTGACTCCAACTGAATGCTTTTAGAATTCAACTAAATATCAGTTGTCTAAGTACCATGCCAGAAAGAGTATATAGATCAACCAATGCTTTGAAGAAAGCCTGACTCTCAGTGAATAGAGTACCTGGGACTGGGAAAAGACCTTACAACTTTTATTTATTTATTTAATTGACTGATTAATTAATTAATTTATTTATTTTGAGAGGGAGTCTTGCCCTGTCATCTAGGCTGGAGTGCAATGGCGTGATCTCAGCTCACTGCAACCTCCGCCTCCCGGGTTCAAGTGATTCTCCTGCCTCAATCTCCTGAGTAGCTGGGATTACAGGCACATGCCACCACGCCTGGCTGATTTTTGATATTTTTAGCAGAGACGGGATTTCACCATGTTGGCCAGACTGGTCTCAAACTCCTGACCTCGTGATCCACCACCACCGCGGCCTCCCAAAGTGCTGGGATTACAGGCGTGAGGCACCGTGTCCGGCCCAAGACCTTACAACTTTTAAGTAGCTCAAGCAGAAGCCAAAAAAAAAAAAAAAAAATACTGTACATTTGTTGGCTTTCCATTACAACTAGTATTTTCAAAATCGAAATATCCAAGGAACCATAGTAGTAGGTAGATTTGCTTTTATTTGCAGAAACTTTAATTATGTATTAGGGAATGATTATTTATTCTACAATTAGATGGTTTTTAAGGCAAGTCCTGTTGCACCTAGTGAATTGACTTATAAAATTGACTGATGTATATTCAGGTTTAGCTACCTGACTTGAGGAACCATGGAAAAAGGTTGAACTGGGTAAAGCCCTCTTTAAACTGCTTGATTCTGGCACTGCAACCCTCTAGTTTGGTTGTTTCATAGCCTCAGTTTCCTCATTTCAAATAGTAAGTCATTACCAATTTGAAAATGATAGAGATCTATGTATCTACTGTTAAAGAAAAAATTATTCATGACACTCATTAAAGATGGTAAGGCAAGCTTTATTCAAGGTTGGTCATGGCAATAGCTACAGAGATCGCTGCAACGGGGTCTTGCAATGGGAGATAGATTGGACTTAATTCCAACTACAACAAGGACAGTGGGGATTTAAAAGCAAGGTGCAGGGTGAGGGTCAGTGGATAGAAAATCACCAAGAGGAAACATCAGGCATAAGAGGTTGATAAGAATTTTTGCTGAAGGCAGGCCAGGACAATAAGATATCAACAGGGGTGGATTTCACCTACATTGACTTTGCAGGATTCTATAAGAAGAGACAGAAGCCCAAGGTTTGGTCTAGTCAAGCTTACTCAAAGGAGCCCAACTGAAGTTTTGTTCAAAGGAAACAGTCATTGGTAGCACTAAAGAAAACAATGTTCATAGGTATGAAAGCCAGGACTTATACTTCTTTACTAATTTGTGTGTGTGTGTGTGTGTTTTATCAAATATCTTAGTAGGTGTGGAATAAGAATTTTTATGTTAAAATCAGTGAAGTATTTTGAATCTAATCTTATTTCCTGGAGACACCCTGAGAACCAGCTCAGGTTTTATACCTTGTCAAGGTTTTTACTGTTCTAGAATTAGTTGGAAAAAATATCTTTACAAACTTCTAATATACAAGCAAGTAGTCTTAAAAAAGATTTATATCCTGTGTTCTTGGGTACCACAAAGGTAATCCTTGAGCAATAATACAGCATTGTGAACCCAGAGCTACATGAAAGCTGCAGTGTGCTAAGTCCTTTCAAAAACATTCCTAAAAAGAACAGTGTAAATTGTATGCAGCTCAGATCACATAATAATTATGAAAATCATTGTAAATACATTTAGGATGCCTTCAGTTACACATTACAGTAGTTTTATTTTCCCAAATAACTGAAAAATCTATGGAACCAACTTCATGCTTGTGATTTTATCTAATGAACTCAATTTGGTTCTGCAAAACACTAAAGTTTCCTTTACAGGTATAAGTATTGCTTGTCCAAACACTATTCAGAAAGGAAGAAAACAAAGGAAAGGGCAATAAAGCCAAGAAAAGCAGCAATGCGCAATTGGGAATGAGCCAGAGGAGATAAGCAAAGATAGTAGAAAATAGCTCAAAAGAAAAAAAAAATACCATGACCCCCAAAATGTTAAATAGCTAAGAAGTGAATAGAATAATCACAGAATATTTTCCCCTAAGAGCAGAGACATCTAAATATCACCTTATCTTAGAGTTTGATAATAAGATGGAAGAAAGGGAAATAAAGCCTCTGACTTGTTCTTGATGTGGTATTTGAAAAGTAAAATGCAAAAGCCTGATTTTACTTTTTGCACAGCAGTGTGTGGTAGATAGAATTCTAAGATGTCCTTCAATATTCCTACCTACTGATATGCATACCCAATATATGTACCAGCATATATGTGGGTGCTGAAATATGATGAAATATCACTCCTGTGATTAGATTAAATTAATAATAGGTGGATTGGCAGAGCACGCTGGCTTACGCCTGTAATCCCAGCACTTTGGGAGGCCAAGGCAGGCAGATCATGAGGACAGGAGTTTATGAGACCAGCCTGGCCAACATGGTAAAACTCCATTTCTACTAAAGATACAAAAAATTAGCTGGGCATGGTGGTGTGTGCCTGTAATCCCAGCTACTCGAAAGGCTGAGGCAGGAGAATTGCTTGAACCCAGGAGGCAGAGGTTGCAGTGAACTGAGATGACGCCATTGCACTCCAACCTGGGTGACAGGGTGAGACTCCATCTCTAAATAAATAAATAAATAAATAAATAAAGTAGCTGGGTTTCGGAGATAAGTCAAGGTTTGCAAAAAGAAAATAGTGTGGACGAAGTAATCATTCTTTATAGATTTTAGCTAAAGTTAGACACAAGGCAGCAGTAGTGAGTGGGGTCTTTAAAACTTTTATACAGAGTCCCCAGTCTGTATGGTAAAAAACAGGACAGTGTTCAGAGTCATCATAAGTGTTAAAAATTGGGATAGAAATCCTAGAAAGGGAAGAGTTAGAGAATGGAAGCCCCAAATTCTGTTTACAAATGATGTACAATCTTCTGGCTGACCCCAGAAACATGCATGGATGAGAAAGACCCCAATTATACATAACAGAATTAAATTAGATGAGTGCTATTGCTCAAGATGTAGTTTGTAGTGAGAATACAACCATTAGTATGTATGCACCTAATAACAGAGCTTTACATTAGCAAGGGTGTCCAATCTTTTGGCTTCCCTTGGCCACATTGGAAGAAAAAGAATTGTCTTGGGCCACAGATGAAATACACTAACACTAATGATAGCCAATGAGCAAAAAAAAAAAAAAAAAAAAAAAAAAAAAAAAATCTCATAACATTTTAAGAGTTTAGGAACCTGTGTTGGGCTGCATTCGAAACCATCCTGGGCTGCATGTGGTCCATGGGCCGTGGGTTGGACAAGTTTGATTTATATCAAGCAAAAATTGTCAGAATTAAATGAACAAAAAGACAATTTCATAACCATAGTTAGATTTTAACATTCCTTTCTGAGCAATTGAAAGAATGACTAGACAAAAACATAGTAAAACATAGATTATTTGAACAACACTTTCAATCACCTTTACCTATATATAGGTCTATAACCAATGTATATCTGTAACCAGTTACTACAACTTTAATGGCTTAAAACAACACTTTTTTTTAAAAAAAAATTTACAGTCCTGAAGGTCAGAAGTCCGAAATGAATTTTGCTAGGTCAAAAATTAAGAAGTTAGCAAAGCTGTGCTTCCTCTGGAGGCTCTGGGGAAAAATACATTTACTTGTCTTTTCCAAGTTCTAGGTATCCCTTGAATTCCTTAGCTAATGGCCTTTCCCTACATCTTCAAAGCCAGCAGTTCAGTGTACTCCAACCTTCCTCTGTTTTTGTCATCAGATTGCCTTTTGCTCTTCCCTGATTCTACTCTCTCCCTCTTATAGGCATTCTCATAATTCCATTGGGCCCAACAAAATAATTCAGGATACTTTTCCCTATCTCAAAATCTTTCATTTAATCATAACAGCAATTCTCCCGTGCCACATAAGGTAACATATTCACAGATTCTGGGTATAAGTATGTTTACATTTTGGGGGTCCATGATTCTATGTACCATAAGCTAATTGATGATTATAGAAAACTATACCCAACAACTACACAATACATGTTTTTTTAATGTGCATGGTTATTTCACCAAGATGGTCCATGTGATGAGTTATGAAAAAGACTCAATAAGAAACAGTGTGGAGATTCCTTAAAGAACTAAAAGTAGAACTACCATTTGATCCAGCAATCCCACTACTGGGTATCTACCCAGAAGAAAAGAGGTTATTATGCAAAAAAAAAACTATATGAATAACTTCCACACACATATTTATATTATAGCAGCACAATTTGCAATTACAAAAATATGGAACCAGCACAAATGCCCATCAATCAACAAGTGGATAAATAAATTGTGGTCTATGTATACCATAAAATACTACTCAGCCATAAAAAGCAATGAAATTATGGCATTTGCGGCAACCTAGATGGAATTGGAGAGCATTATTCTAAGTGAATTATCTCAGGAATGGAAAACCAAACATCATTATGTTCTTACTCACAAGCGGGAGCTAAGCTATGAGGATGCAAAGGCATAAGAATGATACAATGGACTTTGGAGACTCGGAGTAAAGGGTGAGAGGGGGGTGAGGGATAAAAAACTACACATTGGGTACAGTGTACACTGCTCAGGTGTTGGGTGCACCAAAGTCTCAGAAATCACCACTGAAGAACTTATCCATGTAACCAAACACCACCTGTTCCCCTAAAGCCTATTGAAATAAAAAAATAAAAAAGAAAATAAAAAACACAGTAAGTTGAAAAGAACTGAAACCATACAGAATCTGTTCTGACCTCAATGGCATTAAATTAGAGAATGATAGCAGGTATCTAGAAAATCTGCAAATATTTGGAAGTTATGTAACATGCTTCCAAGTAATCCATGAGGCAAAAAGAAATCACAACAAGAATTGGAAAATATTACAAACTAAATGATAATGATATTACAACATACTGAAATTTCTCAAATATACCTGAAGCAGTTCTTATAGAAAATGCAACAATTGAAATACTTATATTTTCAAAAAGTCTAAAATCAGTGACTTAAGATTCTACCTTAAAAAGTTAGACAAAGAAGTAAAATATAAGTCCAAAGTAAGTAGTAGAAAAGAAATAGTAATTTTTTTTTTTTTTACTGCAAAATAAGAGATCAAAGCACAGGAAAAGGAATTTAGGAAAAACATATTTTGGTAACAGAAGATGAAATATATGCTGTAGATGTTTAGGAAAGAAACGGAAGGAAAATATAATAAAATTACATAAATGAAGGCACATTTTGCAGAACAGTTTTCTGGGTGGCCCTGGAATGAATGACTTCTCTCTTACTTGCTTGTAGTTCTCAGGAATGAAGAATGTGGCATTAATTGCAAGACAGCCAACTAGATGCAGCCAGGAAGAACATCTGCCACCAAAAGACTGGGATATTGGGAAGCCTGGAGCACTCTGAACAGATCTTCAGAGGGAAGGCATTGAGAATGGGTGGAGGGAGGACACAGATACCAGGCTGAAGGGAAAGAAAGCTGGGAACCCTGCACAGGACTACAACTCATGGGGAATGTTCCTGGCCCCCAATGACTACTGAGGAGGGGGTGAACTGAGCAGACAATAAGTTACCCATACTTGCCACACAGCTCTGAAATCTTGGCAGCAGGAGATCCCATGACACCAATGGACACTTGAGCTGGCAGGGAGAGTTGCTTAGGGAGGTGGGAGGAGCAGGACTCTAGCCTGTTCAGAGCCTAGAGGGTTTGATATAGGAATGTCGGCAGTGGAGCATGGCCAGGTACACCCATCCCCCAAAGCTTACCAGGCTCCCATAGAAGACTTTAGCCTTACAGAAACTGTCAGACCAGAACAGAGCAGGGCAATGTTGCCAGGAAGACAAAGACAGTCTGACCTGAGTGCCCTCCATCTGCTGGCCTCTCCTACAGCCCCAGCCTGGCCATGCCAGCTTGCAGTCCAACCTCAGATGCCCAACAGGAGTGCCTCCCAGGGGCCTATGATGGCAGACAACAAATGACTGTCAGAGAGCTCCAGTAGAGTGCCCCCCATGATGCACACCAACCTACCCATACCCTCCCCCCACCACAACCTTCCTCACTCTGCTTTGCCAGCATGCACTCACCCATTGCTACCCCCATTCGTGTTCCAATGGTACACGTGCACACGGATGGACTTTGCATCCTCTCCCCTTCCAGTGAGCATGTGTGCATGAAACCCATCGTGCCACTGCTGCCAGTATAAGCACACCCCATTCCTCCTCCCCACTGTGCCACCATTGCTGTGGTGAACATGCACACAGAGGCAGTAGCCCCACCCTCCACTCTGCCCCACCATTGTCACCAGTGTGAATGTGTGCATGGAAGATGCCAGCACCACACCTGTCAGCACCCTGCCCCTGTGCCGACACTACCACCATGCAAATGCACACACAGATGCCCATACCACTGCCCCTACCCTTGTGCCACCATTGCCACCATTGTGAATGCTCACACAGAAGCCATCAGCCCTGCACCCACCAGCATCCCACCACAGCCAACAAGCATGCATCCCATAATGCTGCTACTGCTACTGCTGTTGGCACATGCAAATGGGCATAGACCCCAGTGTCACTGCCTGATGGAAACACTTCAGCTGGCACCACTCATTGGAGTTTTGTGGATAGTGGTATGGGAAGACTCAGGCAACTCCAGTGCAGCAGGCTCCTAACCTCCAGGGACCAGATAACAAAGCTAGGGGGCTCATACCAGCCTTCCAGTGTTAGAGCATGCAGCTCAGGACTGCTGAACTGAGTCTTGGCCACCTAAATTCTTCCAGAAATGAAGCCAGTAAACAGAACCCATCTTACACCAAAATCAAACTCCTAAGAGCATCAAATGAGATAAAAGGAAAAAAAGCATATAAAGGACAGCAACTTCAATGATTGAGAGAACATCAGCCCACACAGGTGAGAAAATCAGTGTAAAAACCCTTGAAACTCAAAAAGCCAGAATGTCTTCTTACCTACAAGAAGAACCAGCAATGGTTCTTAACCAGGATGATATGGCTGAAATTACAGAAATAGAATTCAGAATATGAATACAAACGAAGATCAAGAGTCAGGAGAAAGTCAAAACCCAATCCAAGGATTCTAAGGCTTATAAGAAGATGACACAGGAGATGAAAAACAAAGTGGTCATTTTAAGAAAGAACCAAACTGAACTGATAGAGCTGAAAAGAATTCTCATTTTAAGAATTTCAGAATACAATTGCAAGTATTAACAGTAGAACTGACCAAGATGAGGTAAGAATCTTAAAGCTTAGAAACTAGTTGACCTATATTCAGCATTCTTAAAGAAAAGAATTTCCAATCAAAAATTTCCTATCTAGCCAAACTAAGCTTCGTAAGTGAAGAAGATGCTTTTCAGACAAGAAAATGTTAACGAAGCTTATTACCACTAGATCTACCTTATAAGAGGTCGTAGGCCAGGTGCAGTGGCTCACACTTATAATCCCTGCACTTTGGGAGGCCAAAGTGGGAGGATCATCTGACGTCAGGAGTTTGAGACCAACCTTGGCAATGTGGTGAAACCCTGTCTCTACTAAAAATACAAAAATTAGCTGGGCATGGTGGTGGCCACCTGTAATCCCAGCTACCTGGGAGGCTGAGGCAGGAGAATCACTTGAACCCAGGAGGTGGAGGTTGTGGTGAGCTGAGACCCTGGGCAACAAGACTGAAACTACATCTCAAAAAAGAAAAAAATAGAAGTCCTGAGCAAAGTGCTAAATATAGAAAGGACAGATTGCTATTGGCCACCACAAAAATACACTTAAGTACATAGACCAATAACACTCTAAAGCAACTACACAATCAAGTCTGCATAATAACCAGCTAAAAACATGATAGGATCAAATCAATACATATCTATACATATCAGCATATCATCGCATCTTGATTCTTTACCCAGCTTGCCGCTCTGTGCCTTTTAATGTGGGCATTTAGCCTATTTACAATCAAGGTTAGTATTGATATGTAAAGATTTCATCTATACATGTCAAGCTGAGAAAAGAGTCTCAGAACTTGAAGACCAGTTCTCCAAAATTAACTCAGACCAAAATAAAGAAAAAACAATAAAAAAGAATAAAAACTCCAAGAAATATGAGATTATGTAATGAGACCAAATTTGCAACTCATGACATCCCTGAAAGAGAAGAAAAAGCAAACAACTTAGAAAACATATTTCAGGATGTCATCAATGAAAATTTCCTCACCCTCACTAGAGAAGCTAACAGTAAAATACAGGAAATGCATATTGCAGATAATCCCTTTGAATTACTACACAAAAAGACCGTCTTCAAGACACAGTCATCAGATTCTTCAAGGCCAAAATGGAAGAAAAAACGTTAAAGGCAAGTGGAGAGAAGGAAGAAATTTGATCTCTATATATCAATACTAATCTTAATTGTAAACAGGTTAAATGCCCTAATTACAAGGAACAGAGTGGCAAATTGGGTAAAGAAGCAAGACCCAATGGTATGCTGTCTTTAAGAGGCCCGTCCCACATACAATGATACCCACAGGCTCGAAGTAAATGGATGGATAAAAAATCTACCAAGTAAATAGAAAACAGAAAAAGGAGTGGTTACTATACTAATTTAAAACAAAACAGACTTTAACTCAACAAAGATTAAACAAAGACATAGAAGGACATTATATGATAATAAAGGTTTCAATTCAGCAAGATGTGACTATCCTAAATATATACACATCCAACACTGGAGCACCCAGATTCATAAAGCAAGTTCTTAGAGACCTAGGAAGAGACTTAGATATATAATAAGAGGGGAAGACTTACAACATCCCACTGACAGTATTAGACAAATCATCGGGGCAGAAAACTAACAATGATATTCAGAACCTGAATTTGACAGTGGACCAAATGAACCTCATAGATATCTATAGAAATCTCAACCCCCAAACAACAAAATACACATTCTTCTTATCTGCACATGGCACATAGTCTAAAATTGACCATACAATCAGATATAAAGAAACTGTCAGCAAATTTTGAAGAAACCAAAATTATACTTATCATATTCTCTGGTCACGCAGCAATAAAAAATATTTAGGCCAATATCCCTGAGGAACATAGAAGCAAATATCCTCAAACAAGTTTCTAGCAAACTGAATTCAGCAGCATATCCAAAAGTGAATCCACCATGATCAAGTTGGCTTCATCCCTGGGATGCAAAGTTGGTTCAACATATGCAAATCAATAAATGTGATTCATCACAAAAACAGAACTAAAAACAAAAACCACATGATGATCTCAATAGACAGAGAAAAGGCTTTCAATAAGATTCACCATCACTTCATGTTAAAAATCCTCAACAAACTAGGCATTAGAGAAACATACTTCAAAATAACAACAGCTATCTATGGCAAACCCACAGCCAACATTATACTAAATGGGCAAAAGCTGGAAGCATTCCCCTTGAAAATCAGAAAAAGACAGGGATGCCCTCTTTCACCACTTTTATTCATCATAGTACTAGAGATCCTGGCCAGAGCAATGAGGAAGAGAAAGAAATAAAAGACATCCAAGTAGAAAAAGAGGATGTCAAACTATCACTGCTTGTAGAGGTTATGATACTACACCCAGAAAACCTCATAGTCTCTTCCCATAAGCTTCTTGACCTGTTAAAGAACTTCATCAAAGTCAATGAACAAAGTAATGAACAAGGTGAATGAACAAAAATTAGTAGCATTCCTGTAAAGCAACAACATATAAGCTAAGAGCCAAATTGAGAATGCAATTCCATTTATAATAGCCACAAAAAGAATAAAATACCTAGAAATACAGCTAACCAGAGAGGTGAAAGATCTCTATAATGAGAATTGCAAAACGCTGCTCAAAGAAATCAGAGATGACACAAATGGAAAAACATTCCACACTCCTAGGAATAAATAATATCATTAAAATGGCCATACTGCCCAAAGCAATTTACAGATTCAATGCAATTCCTATTTAACTACTAACGACATTCTTCACAGAATTAGAAAAAAACTATTCTAAAATTCATATGGAACCAAAAAAAACCTGAATAGTCAATGCAATCCTAAGCAAAAAGAACAAAACTGGAGGGTTCACATTACCCAACCTCAAGCTATACTACAAGGTTACAGTAACCAAAACAGCATGGTACTGATACAAACATAGACACATAGAACAATGGAACAGAATAGAGAGCCCAGAAATAATGCCACAAACCTACAGCCATCTGATCTTTGACAAACTTTACAAAAACAAGTAATAGGGAAAGGACTCTGTATTTAATAAATGGTGTTGAGATAACTGGCTGGCCATATGCAGGAGATTGAAACTGGAGCTCCTCCTTATACTGTACTGAAAAAAACCAAAAACCCAAGATGAATTAAAAATTTAAATGTGAAACTTAAAACTATAAAATGCTAGAAGATAGTTTAGGAAATATCATTCTGAACATTTGCCCTGGCAAAGATTTTATGACAAAAACTCCAAAAGCACTTGTAATAAAAACAAAAATTGACACATGAGACCTAATTAAACTAAAGAGCTTTTGCACAGCCAAATAAACTATCAAGAGACCAAACAGACAACCTACAAGATGGGAGAAAATATTTGCAAACTATGCATTCAACAAAAGTCTAATATCCAGAATCTAAAATGCACTTAAAAAATTAACAAGCAAAAAACAAATAACCCTATTAAAACTTGGTCAAAGGACATGAACAGACACTTTTCAGAAGAAGACATACACACAGTCACAAGCATATGAAAAAAAGTTCAACATAATTAATCATTACAGAAATGCAAATTAAAAGCACAATGAGATACCATCTCCATCTCCAAACAGTCTTAATGACTATTATTAAAAAGTGAAAAAACAAACAACAACAACAAAAACAGATGCTGGCAAGGTTGTAAAGAAAAGGGAATGCTTATACACTGCTGGTGGTAAGACAAATTAGTTCAGACATTGTGGAAAGCAGTTTTAGAGATTTCTCAAAGAAATCAGAATTACCATTCAACCCAGCAATCCCATGATTGAGTATATACCCAAAGGAATATAAATTATTCCACGATAAAGACACATGGATGCACATGTTTATTGCAGCACTATACACAATAGCAAAGACATGGAATGAACCTAAATGCCCATCAACAGTAGACTGGGTAAAGAAAATGTGATACATACACCATGGAATACTACACAGCCATAAAAAAGTGAGATCATGTCCTTTGTAACAACATGGATGGAGCTGGAGGTCATTATCTTCTAGGGTTTTATAGTTTTAAGTTTCACATTTAAATTTTTAATTCATCTTGGGTTTTTTTTTAATACAGTATAAGGAAGGGCTCCAGTTTCAATCTTCTGCATATGGCCAGCCAGTTATCTCAACACCATTTATTAAATACAGAGTCCTTTCCCCATTACTTGTTTTTGTAAAGCTTGCAGCTGCTGGATGCCTAAGACAACTGAGCACCCTAAGAAAGGGCAGCAGCCATCTCTACAGCTCCAGGCTACCATTTTTCCCCTGCTGGCACTGGGGAGACTGGACAGCTTGGTCCCAGGAGGTATTCCCCCCAGCACAGCATACCAGTTGTGGCAGATTGTGGCCAGACTGACTCTTTAGGCTGGACCCTGATCCATCCCTTCTCACTGGGTGGGGCCTCCCTGCAGGAACTCCAGCAACTTCAGCCAGGGCTTAGGGAAAGAACTCTTATCTGCCTGGGCCTGAGTCCCTAAGGGGAGGAGTGGCCATGATCTCCATGGATCAGCAGACTTATTCTTTCCCCTTGCTAGCTCTGAGGAATCCAGGCAATCTAGACCAGAAAGTTTCCCCCAGTACAGCACATACCGTCCACCAAGGGACAGGCAAATTGTTTTGTTAAATGGGTCCTGCTTCCTGTGCACAATTGGGTGAGACCCTCCAACAGGGGTAACCAGACACCCTATACAGGAGTATTCCTATTGGCATCAAGTTGGTGCCCCTCAAGGTCCGAGATCCTAGAGGAAGGAGCAGGCACCCATCTTTGCTGTTCTCCAGCCTCCTCAGGTGACATCTCCAGATGCGGAAGGACCAAGATGAATAGGGCCTGAAGTAAACCCCCAGCAAACTTCAGCAGCCCTACAGAAGAGGGACCTTACTATTGAAAGAAAAACAAAAAAAACAGAAAGCAACAACAATAGCATCACCAAAAATGTCCCCACAAAATCCTCATTCAAAGGTCAGCAGCCTTAATAACTGAAACCAGACAAACTCATGAAGATGAGAAATAATTAACAACAACAACAAAAAGTACACCGAAAACTCAAAAGGCTAGAGTACGTCTTCTCATCCAAATGATCGCAACACATTTGCAGCAAGGGCATAGCATTGGATGGAGGATGAGATGGATGAGTTGATAGAAGTAGACGTCAGAAGGTAGGTAATAACAAGCTTTGCTGAGGTAAAGGTGCATGTTCTAACCCAATACAAATAAACTAAGAACCATAATAAAAGATTACAGGAGCTACTAACTAGAATAATAAGTTTAGAGAGGAACATAAATGACCTGATGGAGCTGAAAAACACAAGACTAAAACTTCTTGATGCAAACACAAGTATCAAAGGCCAAATTGATCAAGTGGAAGAAAGAATATCAGAGCTTGAGGACTATCTTGCTGAAATAAGGCAGGCAGACAAGATTAGAGAATAAAGAATGAAAGGGAATGAACAAAACATTCAACTATGGGGCTATGTAAAAAGACCAAACCTAGGACTGATTGGATTACCTAAAAGAGATGGGAAAATGGAACTAAGCTGGAAAACACTTCAGGATATCATCCAGGAGAACTTCCACAACCTAGCAAGATAGGCCAACATTCAAATTCAGGAAATACAGAGAAGGCAACTAAGATACTCCTCAAGAAGATCAACCTGAAAACATATAATCATCAGATTCTCCAAGGTCAAAGTGTAGGAAAAATGTTAAGGACACCCAGAGAGAAAGGCCAGGTAACCTACAAAGGGAAGCCCATAAGACTAACAGCAGTCCTCTCAGCAGAGACCCAACAAGCCAGAAGGCAGTGGGGGCCAATATTCAACACTGTTAAAGAAAATAATTTTCAACCCAGAATTCCATATCTGGGTTAACGATGCTTCATAAGTGAATGAGAAATAAAATCCTTTTCGGACAAGCAAATGCTGAGGGAATTTGTCACCATGAGGCCTGCCTTGAAAGAGCTCCTGAAGGAAGCATAATATGGAAAGAAAAAACCTGTACCAGCCACTGCAAAAACACACTGAATTACAAAGACCAATGATACTATAAAGAAACTGCTTCAACTGGTGTGCAAAATAACCAGCTAGCATCATGCTGACAGAATCAAATTCACATATAGCAATATTGGCCTTAAATGTAAATGGGCTAAATGCCCTAATTAAAAGACACAGTCTGGCAAATTGTGTAGAGTCAAGACCTATCAGTGTGCTGTATTCAAGAGACCCATCTCACGTGCAAAGACACATATAGGCTCAAAATAAAAGGATGGAGGAAAATGTATCAAGGAAGTGGAAAGCAGACAAAAGCAGGGGTTGCAATTCTAGTTTCTGACAAAACAGACTTTAAACCAACAAAGATCAAAAAAGACAAAAAAAGATATTAAATAATGGTAAAGGGATCAATTCAACAAGAAGAGCTAACTATCCTAAATATATATGCACCCAATACAGCAGCACCCACATTCATAAAACAAGTTCTCAGAGAACAACAAGGAGACTTAGACTTCCACACAATAATAGTGGCAGATTTTGACACCCCACTGTCAATATTAGACAGATGATCGAGACAGAAAATTCACATGGATATTCAAGACATGAATTCAGCTCTGGATCAAGTGGACTTCATAGATATCTACAGAACTCTCCACCCCAAAACAACAGAATATACATTCTTCTCATTGCCACATGGCACTTACTCTAAAATCAATCACATAATTGGAGGTAAAAGACTGCTCACCAAATGCGAAACAACAGAAATCATAACAGTCTCTCAGACCACAGTGCAATCAAATTAGAACTCAAGATTAAGAAACTCACTCAAAATTGCACAACTACACAGAAATTGAACAACCTGCTCATGAATGAACACCTGCTGCTGAATGACTCCTGGATAAATAATTAAATTAAGGCAGAAATCAAGAAGTTCTTTGAAACCAATAAGAACAAAGAGAGACAATGCACTAGAATCTCTGGGATACAGCTAAAGTAGTGTTAAGAGGGAAATTTATAGCACTAAATGCCCACATCAGAAAGCTAGAAAGATTTCAAATTGACACCCCAACATCACAACTAAAAGAACTAGAGAAGCAACAGCAAACAAATCCAAAAGCTAGCAGAAGACAAGGAATAACTAAGATCAGAGTGGAACTGCAGGAGATAGACACAAAAAATTTTTCAAAAAATCAATGAATCCAGGTGCTTGTTTTTTGAAAAATTAATACAATACATAGACCACTAGCTAGAGTAATAAAGAAGAAAAGAGAGGAGACTCAAATAGACACAATAAAAAATGATAACTTTGACCACACAGAACTAAACCAAGAAGTAGTCAAATGCTTGAAGACACCAATAACAAGTTCTGAAATTGACATAGTAATAAATAGCCTAGCAACCAAAAAAAAAAATTCCAGGATCAGAAGAATTCACAGCTGAATTCTACCAGAGGTACAAAGAGGAGCTGGTACCATTTCTTCTGTAACTATTCGAAACAACTGAAAAGGAGGGACTTCTCCCTAACTCATTTTGTAAGGCCAGCATCATCCTGATACCAAAACCTGGCAGAGACACAACAGAAAAAGAAAACTACAGGCCAATATCCCTGATGAATATTGATGTGAAAATCCTCAATAAAATATTGGCAAACTGAATCCAGCAGCACATCAAAGACCTTACCCACCGTGATCAAGTCAGCTTCATCCCTGGGATGCAAGGCTGTTTCAACATACACAAATCAATAAATATAATTCATCACATAAAAAGAACTAATGAAAAAAACTAAATGATTATTTCAAAGACACAGAAAAGGTCTTTGATAAAATTCAACATCCCTTCATGTTAAAAACTCTCAATAAACTAAGTGTTGATGGAACATATCTCAAAATAAGAAGAGCCGTTTATGACAAACCCATAGCCAATATCATACTGAATGGGCAAAAGGTGGAAGCATTCCCTTTGAAAACTGGCACAAGACAAGGATGCCCTCTCTCACCACTGGTATTTAACATAGTATTGGAAGTTCTGAGCAAGGCAATCAGCCAAGAGAAAGAAATAAAGGCATCCAAATAGGAAGAGAGGAAGTCAAACTGTCTCTGTTTGTAGACAACATGATCCTATGTCTAGAAAACCCCACTGTCTCAGCCTAAAAGCTCCTTAAGCTGATAAGCAACTTCAGCAAAGTCTCAGGATGCAAAATCAATGTGCAAAAATCACATTCCTTTACACCAACAATAGACAAGCAAAGAGCCAAATCATGAATAACCTCCCATTCACAGTTGCTACAAAGAATAAAATACCTAGGAATACAGCTAACAACAGATGTGAAGGACCTCTTCAAGAAGAACTACAAACTACTGCTCAAGGAAATAAGAGAGAACACAAACACATGGAAAAACATTCCATTCTCATGGATAGGAGGATCAATATCATGAAAATGACTATATTGCCTGAAGTAATTTATAGATTCAATGCTATTTCCATCAAACTGCCATTGACATTCTTCACTGAACTAGAAAAAAGTAATTTAAAATTTACATGGAACCAAAAAAGAACTTGCACAGCCAAGACAATCCTAAGCAAAAAGAATAAAGCTGGAAGCATCATGCTACCTGACTTCAAACTATACTACAAGTCTACAGAAACCAAAACAGCATGGTACTGGTATAAAAACAGACATATAGACTAATGGAACAGAATAGAGATCTCAGAAGTAAAACCACACATCTTCAACCATGTGATGGTAAAAAAAACCTGACAAAAACAAGCCATAGGGAAAGGATTCCCTGTTTAATAAATGGTGCTGGGGAAACTGGGTAGTCAAATGCAGAAAACTAAAACTGGACCCCTTCCTTACACCTTATACAAAAATTAACTCAAGATGGATTAAAGACAGAAATGTAAAACCCAAAACCAAAAAAAACCCTAGAAGAAAACCTAGGTAATGTCATTTAGGACATAGGCATGGGCAATGATTTTATGATGAAATCACCAAAAGCAATTGCAACAAAAGCCAAAATTGTCAAATGGGATCTAATGAAACTAAAGAGCTTCTGCATGGCAAAATAAATTATCATCAGAGCAAACAGGCAGCCTACAGAATGGGAAAACATTTTTGCAATCTACTCATCTGACAAAGGTCTAATATCCAGAATTTATAGGGAACTTAAACAAATTTACAAGAAAAAAACAAATAACACCATAAAAGGGGCAAAGGACATGAAGAGACGCTTCCTCAAAGAAAACATTTATGCAGCCAACAAACATATTTTTAAAAGCTCAGTATCACTAATCATTAGAGAAATGCAAATCAAAACCACAATGAGATACCATATCACACCAGACAGAATGGTGATTATTAAAAAGTCAAGAAACAACAGATGCCGGCAAGACTGTGGAGAAGTAGGAACACTTTTACACTGTTGGTGGGAATGTAAATTAGTTCAACCACTGCGGAAGATAGTGTGGTGATTCCTCAAGGATCTAGAGCCAGAAATACTATTTGACCCAGCAATCCCATTACTGGGTATATACCTAAAGGAATATAACTCATTCTATTATAAAGATATATGCATATGTGAACCTAAACGTTTTTTAAAAATCTTAAAAAAAAATGTAGAATGGACTGCAACATCCTGAAACATGATGGAGGAATTGCTTGGAACAGCCTCAGCTCTGTTCCAGTTTTCCCTAGGAACAGGATATCCTTCAATGTTTTAGCCCAGTAGGTCACCTTGTCCCAGGGTATGAAACTAAAGATAAACTGAATTTCAGGGTCCCTCAGCAAATGGGGTGCATCAGTGAGACCCCATCTACCTCAAACAGTGTTCCCTGAGACTTGAGGGATTGGTTCATAATGAATTCTAGGCTTCTTTTGACCCCTGTTCTTATTTGTAACTAATGAACCCACCTTTTGTAACTCGTTGCATATGTGGGTGTTCTGTCTCACAGGACTCAAGTAAGTTGTTAAACAGTGCGCAATGAATGTACTTCATGCATATCGGAAACAAAACAAAGAAGAAACCACTGAAACCAAAGAGTCATTTCATTCATACTGAAAAACATGAGCAAAATAACACAGACTTACAAAAGCAAACAGTTACAGAGAAAAAAAAAGGGGGAATAGAAGACAAAAGAAATGTTACATTTGTAATTTACTATTCCCAGAGGAAATAAACAATGAGACAAATAATGAAATAACTTTATATGAGAAGGTGTTTATACAATTATTGATAATTGAAATTATTATTTTCCTGAGTGAACAGAAATATTTTGTTTTTCCTATAATACTGTCACAATGCAACTCAGAATAATTCACCTCTGGTCACCAAAATGTGTATGGATTTCTCTCTACCAGCAGTTGGTCCTTCAGCAGATTCTGCAGATGATTCTTTAATGAACACCAGATGGTTGTCCTCCCAATTCAATTCAATTCTGACACTGGAAGATCTACTGGAGCTAGTGTCAAATCCCACAGACTGAGAGCCCAGTTCCACAAGACTGACCCCCCTACTTCAGATGCCAATAGTAGGAACAGGTTGTGGACTGTGCTTTTGTTTGTTTTTTTTTTTTCTTGAGACAGCATCTCTCTCTGTCACCCAGGCTGGAGTGCAATGGCACAGTCTCGGCTCACTGCAAGCTCCGCCTCCAGGGTTCACACCATTCTCCTGCCTCAGCCTCCCAAGTAGCTGGGACTTACAGGCGCCTGCCACCATGCCCAGCTAATTTTTTTGTATTTTTAGTAGAGAAGGGGTTTCACTGTGTTCACCAGGATGGTCTCAATCTGGCCTGTGCTTTTAACCAACTGATTATAAATGAAGTTTCCATGACCCCCTACTCAGGTTTGATTAATTTGCTAAAGTGGCTCACAGAAATCAGGAAAACACTTTACGTACCATTACCAGTTGTTATAAAGGGTAGCACAGCAGCCAGATGGAAGAGATGCTTGGGGCCGGGTATGGGGAAAGCATGTGGAATTTTCATAACCTCTTAGAGGACACAACCCTTCAGGAACCTCTTATGTGTTCAGCTATCTGGAAGCTCTCTGAATGTAGTTCTTTAGGGATTTGATGGCAGCTTCCTTACACAGGCACAATTGGTTAAACTATTTGTTGCTACTGATCAGCTTAACCTTCAGCTCCTCTTCCCTCCCCAGAGGTCTTGGACTTTCAGGTGACTGTTCCCCATCCTGAAGCTATCTAGTGGTTTCCAGCCCCCAGTCATCTCATTACCATACAAAAAACACTCTTATCACTCCGGATAGTCCAAGAGTGAAGACCAAATATATATATATATTTGAATATAGTATATATTATGAATCACTATATTACACTGAGTTAATACAGCAAAAACTTCCTTCAAATATTAAGAAGTCTTGTATTCCTATATTTTCTGGTAAAATATAGGAATAGTACTAGCTTGAGCACAGATTTAATTAACTATAAGGCTATCCATAAAAACAAATGGTAATTGTGAGAGAAGAAAATGCAAAAAAAAAGATGAGGAAGAGGAAATATTCACATTTCAATACCTCTTATAGGTACTATTCAACAAAATAAACGGTTAAGTGTAAAAACTTAAGACAGTTATTCACCACAATAAAAATACAACCTTTCTAATGATCAGAACAAATACCCATCCAAGTACAGCAAACAATGTGGTAAAACGTATAAAGACAAAAAAGCTATAAAACTAGCAAGCGTGAATAAAATATGATGACAGAACTAAGAACAAATATATCTTTTATGTCAATACATGAAATGCACTGAACTCACCAATTGTCTTCGATGGGGATTCCTGGAAACAGAGACAAAGTCAAGGAATTTATTAGAAAGAAGTGCTATACAAGAAAAAGAGTAAGAAAGGGAGGAGAGGGTGAGGATTAAAAAGTAAGCAAGTATGTGACCTCCGAAGAAAGGGATTTCAGTTTAATTCTATAGACAAGGTTTGGAGCAACAATTACACCTCAGAGTTAGTGCCCCTTTGAGGCACTTTTATATCCTGTGTCAGTCATTGACTGAATTCTGCCCCTTAAGGGGAGCTGAGGCTGGGGAGTCTTTCACAACTTGATGGGTGAATTGGCTTTAGCAGAGGACAATTTTCCAGAGAGAGAGAGACATTTGTGAATTATTAGCCAAAGTCGGAGGCAACTGGGGAATGAGGACACTTGCAGGGAAAGGGTAGAATGTCAACAGCATCTACCTTAGGCCATCCTTGTACCACTAGACCTACTTGCTTTTTGTGTTACATATATTCCATCTAGTCACAGCTTCTCCAGGATCCTGCTTGGTCACCATTTCTAGTCATATCTACAAGAGGAGATTAGTGGGCTAAAATATAGCACCAAATGCTGCAGCTAGTTCCAAGACTAAAATTGATACTTCTTTCTCCACCACTCATGCTACCAGTGGCCATAAAACCTACAAACATAGGTAATCTCTCTTTCAACAGATTGAATCACCTTGTTTACTTCTGAGGTATGCTAAAATAGAAAGTTTTTTTCTTTTGGTTAAAATCAGAGAAATAACACATCACAGCTACACGTGCAGGGATAGATAGAAATTTTGCATTTTTGACAAGTGACACAACAGCATACCATATAATATCATTTAATGTATCAGGTATTATATTAGCAATACATAATTATATTATATTCGCCATGATTCCATACTTTATGGCCACTCCTGCGGCAGGCCAGGTCTCACTAACAGCTGAACAGGCAGGCCTCCATGACAACTGTTTCAGCACTGACTAAGTGATTAAGTTAAATATTAAAAGCTGATAGAGCCAGTGTCCTTGTACAAAGGCTAGGATGTAACAAAAGCCCCCCAAGAGTTTTGCCTCAGCCTTTCCTGGGCCTTGAAGCATGAGAATATAGCAAAGGAATTCTTAACAGGACCTTTTGAGGATTAAACAAGTTTTATTTGGGGTCTGAAGGAACCCCCCCAGACCTCCACAAACAACTTTTATTAGTGTCTAAAGAAACTCCCCAAACCTCCATGATTTAGTGGGAGACAAGGTAAGGCTAATCATCCCTGGCACCTGGAACCATCTAGATAAAGTAAATTTACTGAAGTTCCAGAGGAAGGTCTTCAGGACTCAGATCTTAGATGTAGATTAGAAGGAGTTAATCACTTATGTCCTTTGACGAATGCATACTTACACATAGATATATAGCTTAGAAGGTATATACTCTAGAAAACTTTGTAATTCTGAGTTGGTCTGGTGATATTTTTCCAGCCTTCTCCCTGTACCCGGTTACGGAAATAAACTCTCTTTTTTCCCAGTGCATCTGCATCTTGTTACTGGGCCACGAGAATAAGCACCCCGACTCTCCATTCAGTCCGGGAATACTCCCATAGAAGTCCCTTCTTGTACAACTAGGAATTCTGCTAGTATAGGTGACTTGGCTGGTGGGTTTATTAGACGCTAACCCCCTAAGGGTTCTAAGTTCCTGATTACCATGCCCTTACCAGGATGTGACTGCTCTGCTTGTCCATTTACATTTACAACTCAGCATGGGAATATTCAGAGACACTCCAGTTGATTATTTGAATTCCAAATCTATTCCTTCCTGGCCCTCCCTTACTACCTCATGGTGATCAGTGCCAATTACCTCTGCCAGAATAGTGATTCCCTTTGTTGCCCACTGGTCCACTGGCACTCGCAAGTGACCCTTGCTGTGTCTCCTGGTGGAAGAGTTCCCCTTTCAGAAACAAGGACTACTAGACTTACTGAGCCTAAAATGCTGAAATAGGAAGCAAAATTGTGAATAATGGTGTTAGTGCCATTACTACTTTCATTCCTTATTCTCAGAACCAACATATTCTACTTCTTGAGAGACGATACTATATAATGATCATTGGTTTAAGATATATGCCATGTATTGAAGGATATAGTGTACAATTCCCACAATGTGTCATCTCTAATTGGCATTTTATTTGTACTTTTAGAGAGCTCTTCCATCACTCTACGACATTTGGTAGGTTCTGGATAGCTGTGGTAAGTAGTAGAACCGGTATGTGGAAGAACCAATATGTTGTAATACCATAATCCTGTGGTCAGAATGCACTACCATGAGTCTTTACTAAAAAGTGAATTGAAATGTTTTGCTAGATGCCATCTTAGTAGATTATAAAGTAATATACCTGGAATAGAAGTCGATTCTATTCAATGTGAATTAATGCCTTTTCTAGAATTGAAGATTATAATGTAATTAACCCACATCGAGTGTCTAGTGGGCCTCCTTGAAGAATTGTGGTATATTATGGACTCATCAGTGGTCTCCATTGTTGATAGGTCAGGCATTCAGCAGCAGAAATAGCTAGATAAACTTAAGTCAGAAGAAGAGGTGGAAGTGAAGAAACCCCATAATGTTGGCATAGCTGCTATCTCAAATACAGTGTTTACATCATTCATAAGCCTATGAATGAGCAGAGGTGGCTGAGGTCAGAGAAGAGCTAGCATTTACTCACAAAATTACCCTATCCATTCATTTTATTATTCCCTCTTTGGAGTGAATATCCTGTAACTGGCATTTATATGTGATTTTAAAATACCCTCATACTTTTTTCCCCACCTCCCACAAGTACATTACACATGGCTTTTCCCCAGATCTTCCTGTATTGATCTGCCAATCTTGCTCATTCCAGGACTCTGGCCAACCTGATAAGACATTTTCAATACTCATAAGTATATGTAAATCTTTACTTTGTTTACTTTTCTCTGCACACAAAAGGGATGACCAGAAGCACTGCTCAAAACTCTACCCATGGGAGGATGTCACTTCTTTTACTTCTTTCATGTGTACTCCAAAAAGGGGCTGGAGTAGGGTAGTTGAATAATGCTACAGTTTTCAACTTGCTCCTACATGACAGGTCAACCATGACAGGTGCAGTAAGCTTGAGCTTTTTTTTTTTTTTTTTTTTGCCTCCATCAGCTAGTGATAAGAAACCCCCGTAAGACCATGGATGAGTCGTACCAAAGAACAGGTATCGGTACAAGAGAGGTAAGTGTCATGAAGGACATTGTCACCACTTATTCAGCTAACCTGTGCCCTCAGACATTTTTGGACCTAGTCACAGATGTACCACTTCCATTTTACTATGAGATTATGCTGGTTCTGCCTGCCTTAGTGAATCTAATAGTAATTTGCTCATGATACAATCTTACGGCCACATAGTTATTTGATGTTCAAATGGCTAGTCAGGTTATTTCTACTAAAACCCAATATAATGCAGAGAGACGCTATTCTGTTGCACATGACATGACCCTGTCTAGAGCAAAGGATCTGCATTAGAACTTTCCTATTAGGGCTCAAAATGGTGACTTTTTCTGCTGTAGATATGTGTTCTGTCATGGGCTCTTTCAGGTCGTATGGCCAAAGAAGCCAGCTGCTTAATCACATTTTGGACCTGTTGAGAACTTTTTCTTGCCCTAGGGCCTATTCAAAGCTAGCTTTATCAGAATTCCTGGTTTTAGAATATGATCCTCCCAAAAACCAAAAAAAAGCACATTAATCATTGTACATTTATTCCTTTATGTTAGAAAATCCAAGTTGCAATAACTTGTCTGTTATTTGGGGGTTGTCTGAGAATGCCCTGCACCCCTGATTTCCTAAAACCTTTATCAATTTAATCCTGGTCTAACCACAGAACTTTTAATGTTCTATTGTTCTACTTTTCCTCTTGAACTTCATTTTGAACTGTTCAGTGCTATCTAATCCTTCAGATTTCAGTAAAATCAGCATTTCTTTAAGCAACCAACTTTTGACTAATCTTCCCCCTATTACAGAAGAAAGAGGTTGTAGAAATGAAAAATGAGTGCTGTATAGGATCTCAAAATACCATGCACTTTTCTTTACAGCACTTGTTATACTTGCAAATTTATATTTCTCTTTGTGGTTAATGTTTCTTTGACCTACTATATTTTTATTTTAAGCTTTTTTCCCTTAATTGTTCAAATATACTTCAGATAATGGTTGGAGAGGAGGTATTATACAAACTTTGGGGAGAGGGAGACTAAATAATTTTTGTCATATTAGTGTTTTTATAATTTCATATTACAATAAATATCTTTTGTCTTAATAAAGGCTCTTGGTTCTAGAAAGTTTTACCTGGGCCAGTTTGTTTAACGACAACAGAATTATTATTTTTTTAAAAGTAATGCGAAAATTATGATTAAAGTTTTAAAAATCCTGATCTGTTATAGATAAACTATAGTAAAATGAAAAGAAAACTAAATCCCCTCACGCAAAATTCTGGCAAACTACCTGACAGGTAAGCTCTTGATACCTGAGAGAATGGAAATTGGATTTCCTTTAAGCATTACCCAAGATGAAGGGGCTCAGGAACAAAGCTGTCTGTAGGGGTTATGTTGCCATCATGTGGTCTTAAGGGAGGAAACATTTTAAATAAAAACAGACATCTAGTATAGAAAACTATATGGCATCAGTTTCAAAGATGTCATTTAAATGGAATATAAGACTTTATTTTTTTAAATTAAGAAAACACTTCTCTGAAAATGTTATTAATTCATTTTATCCAAAACTTGGCTCTCTGTTCTGGGACTTCTAGTATGGCCCTTTAACTTCTTGTTTCCTTGTCAGGAGGCAAAAATAACATTTAAAAAAAAATTAAAATTATGATGCATGACAACTTTAATAAAGGGCAAACATTAGTAAAGCAAATAAAAGAGGAAGATAGAAATCGTATTAAAAGAGAAAAATTAAAGTCAGGCAATTTTCCCATAAAGCAAATGAAGCTTAAGGTTAGGGGCTCTCAGATTCCTGTTCTTAATTTTGTATTGGCAATTTTGATTCTTTTTCTTAAGAATGGTGTATTATTTGTTTCCATGCTGCTTATAAAGACATAACTGAGACTGGGAAATTTACAAAAGAAAGAAGTTTAATGGACTTACAGTACCACATGACTAGGGAAGCCTCACAATCATGGAGGGAGGAGGAGCAACTCACATCTTGCATAGATGGCAGCAGGCAAAGAGAGAGCTTTTGCAGGGAAATTCCTGTTTTTAAAACCATCAGATCTTGGTTGGGTGTGGTGGCTCACGCCTGTAATCCCAGGACTCTGGGAAACTGAGGCAGGCGGATCACGAGGTCAGCAGATCGAGACCATCCTGGCTAACATGGTGAAACCCTGTATCTACTAAAAAAATACAAAAAATTAGCTGGGCGTCCTGGTGGGCACCTGTAGTCCCAGCTACATGGGAGGCTGAGGCAGGAGAATGGCGTGAACCTGGGAGGCAGAGCTTTCAGTGAGCCGAGATTGTGCCACTGAAGTCCAGCCTGAGCGACAGAGCGAGACTCCATCTCAAAAAAAAAAAATAATAATAATAATAAAATGAAACCATCAGATCTCATGAAACTTATTCACTATCATGACAGCAGCATGAGAAAGACGTTCCTTCATGATTCAATTACCTCCCACTGGGTTCCTCCCACAACATGTGGGAATTGTCAGAATTACAATTCAAGATGAGCTTTGAGTGAGGACATAGCCAAATCATATTATTCAGCCCCTGGCCCCTCCCAAATCTCATGTCCTGACATTTCAAAACCAATCATTCCTTCCCAACAGTCTCCCAAAGTCTTAACCCATTTCAGCATCAACTCAAAAGTCCACAATCCAAAGTCTCATCTGAGACAAAGCAAGCCCCTTCCTCCTATAAGTCTGTAAAATCAAAAGCATTCCCAGATACAACGGGGGTACAGGCACTGGGTAAATACAGCCATTCCAAATGGGAGAAATTGGTCAAAACAAAGGAGCTACAGGCTCCATGCAAGTCCAAAATCCAGCGGGGCAGTCAAATCTTGAAGCTCCAAAATGATCTCCTTTGACTCCATGTCTCACATCCAGGTCACACTGATGCAAGATGTGGGCTCCCATGGACTTGGGCAGCTCCACCCCTGCATCTTCGCAGGGTATAGCCCCCTCCTGGCTGGTTTCTTGGGCTGGGGTTGAGTGTCTGTGGCTTTTCCAGGTGCACAGTGCAAGCTGCAGGTGCATCTACCATTCTGGGGCCTGGAGGACGGTAGCCCTCTTCTCACAGCTCCACTAGGCAATGCCCCAGTAGGGACTCTGTGTGGGGCTCTGACCCCACATTTCCCTTCTGCACTGCCCTACCAGGGGTTCTCCATGATGGCCCCTCCCCTGCAGCAAACTTCTGCCTGGGCATCCAGGCATTTCCATACATCCTTTGAAATCTAGGCGGAGGTTCCCAAACCTCAGTTCTTGACTTCTGTGCACCCACAGGCTCAACACCACATGGAAGTTGCCAAGGCTTGGGGCTTCCACCCTTTGAAGCAACAGCCTGAGCTGTACCTTGGCCCCTTTCAGCCATGGCTGGAGTGGCTGGGATGCAGGGCACCAAGTCCCTAGAGTGCCCACAGCAGAGGGACCCTGGGCTGGGCCCATGAAACCATTTATTCCTTCTAAACCTCCAGGCCTGTGATGGGAGGGGCTGCTGCAAAGGTCTCTGGCGTGTTCTGCAGACATTTTCACCATTGCCTTGGTGATGAACATTTGGCTCCTTGTTACTTATGCAAATTTTTGCAGCTGGCTTGAATTTCTCCTCAGAAAATGGGATTTCCAAACATTTATGCTCTGTTTTTTTCTTTTAAAACTGAATGCCTTTAAAAGCACCCAAACCACCTCTTGAATGCTTTGCTGCTTAGAAATTTCTTCCACCAGAAACCCTAAATCATCCCTCTCAAGTTCAAAGTTCCACAAATCTCTAGGGCAGGGGCAAAATACCACCAGTCTCCTTGCTAAAGCATAACAAGAGTCACCTTCACTCCAGTTCCCAACAAGTTCCTCATCTCTATCTGAGACCACCTCAGCTTGGATTTCATTGTCCATATCATTATCAGCATTTTGGTCAAAGCCATTCAACAAGTCTCTAAGGAGTTCCAAACTTTCCCACATTTTCCTATCTTCTTCTGAGCCCTCCAAACTGTTCCAACCTTGGCCTGTTACCCAGTTCCAAAGTTGCTTCCATATTTTTGGGTATCTCTTCAGCAGCACCCCACTCTACTGGTATTAATTTATTGTATCAGTCCATTTTCACACTGCTGATAAAGACATAACTGAGACTGAGCAATTTAGAAAAGAAAGAAGTTTAATGGCCTTACAGTTCCACATGGCTGGGGAAGCCTCACAATCATGGAGGAAGGTGGAGCAAGTCATGTCTTACATAGATGGCAGCAGGCAAAGAAAGAGCTTGTGTAGGGAAACTCCCATTTATAAAACCATCAGATCTCATGAGACTTATTCACTACCATGAGAACAGCATGGGAAAGACCCACCCCCATGATTCAACTACCTCCCACCGGGTTCTTCCCATGACACATCTGAATTGTGTGAGCTACAATTCAAGATGAGATTTGGGTGATGACACAGCCAAACCATAGCAGATGGCCTCCCAAAGTTGAATGGCTTTATGTTTAAAAAACCCTAATTGTGTTCTGTTTCTTTATTACTGTTATCCTGTTTAAACGATAAATTGGACACATACCAGACCCTGCTTCAGATGTTGGGATCAGAGAAAAACACAGTTCTTCAATTCAAGAAATCCATAGTTAACTGGGCTTTACAGTGCTTGACATTTAGATATTATAATTAATCTTTTTAAAAGGCTGTATTACTCTTTAGAAACTCAGAACTCAGATGAAAATAAAAGGGGTTTCATAGAATATTGTGTAGAGAGGATTAGGAAATGTGATCATTTGTAAGCTTTTCCATAACCTCTATAATCTCCTTTATAAACTTCTCCATAAGGGAAGTAAAAAAACTTGCTACATTTTGCAAAAATAAGAAATGACAGCCTGAGTCACAAAGTTCATGCAGAACCAGACTGACTAGCCTTTTTTTTTTTTAACCAGGCCACAGAAGCCATATAGAAAGATAATTTAGCTGTACGTGTAATTTTAAGTCCTTAGAAATTTCAAATTCATGTAACAAGTTAAAGAAAAATATTCTGCCCTTTTAAAATTATGGTTTATTCAACAAACCTACTAATTTTGAAATCATAAATATCCAAACATCTTCCATTTCATGGCCTTCTATAAGCTCCTAGCCTTTTAATAGCTGAGTATATTTTTCTGTCCCCATATGCTTTCCTATGGGAAGTTTAATGCTTGCTCAAACTTCTGAATATGTAGGCCATGGAATTTATTCGTTAATTCTTGTTGCAAATCCCTGCTCTCAGATCTCAATTATTGGCTCCTCTTACTATATTTCTTCTTGTGACTTCTGAACTCTTCCACAGCAATTTACTCCGTAAGATGAATGCACTTACTTTCTCTTTTATGTACCAAAGCATCATACTCTCATGTGAAATTATTTTACTAACCATCTGGGGCAAAAGGACAAGGGGATATAAAAAAACACAGAACAGAAACATCTTAATAATATATGTCAGCATTCTTAAAATCCTTTGAATGGCCCCAGAACTGTTAATTTCTGTTTTGTTTTGTTTTGAGGTAGAGTCTTGCTCTGTCACCCAGGCTGGAGTACAGTGGCACGATCTTGGCTTACTGCAGCCTCTGCCTCCCAGGTTCAAGTGATTCTCCCGCCTCAGCCTCCCGAGTAGCTGGGATTACAGGCGTTCACCATGATGCCCAGCTAATTTTTCTATTTTTAATAGAGACGAGCTTTCATCATGTTGGCCAGGCTGATCTCAAACTCCTGACCTCAGGTGATCCACCTGCCTTGGCCAAAATGTTAGGATGACAGGCGTTAACCACCACATCTGGCCCCAGCACAGTTAACTTCTCACTGGCCCTCTTTCCCCTATTAGACCAGTCTGCTGCTGCATTGATGAGGGTGTATTTTCCCTATCTTGACATTTTTCCAAATTCTTCTTTATCCAGAGTCCTTGCTGTCCCCCCATACAATTTTTTTATTCATTAGCTATTTGATAGTTATCAAAATTCTCTCCTTTTTATGTAATAAAAATTTAATTATTTTAGTTCAAATTCTTCCTCTGAATTATACCCAAAGACTCGGCCTTCCCTTTGCCTTAACCTCATCAGAAAATCCCTGAAACATCTTAAAAGACTCCCAGGGTGTTGTGGAGTCCAGTTTGAAAACCAAAGATTGAAAGATTTTCTGCGTTGTGACATAAATACAATATGTTTATTTTTATACATTGCAACCAACTCTGTTCATTCTTTTCAGGCAATTCACATATTATCTCTATTATTATTTTAATTCCTAGTAAATCAATGAATAGCTATTAAATCGTATTGCAAATTTTACTTAAACATTATTTGAGTTAAGCTGAATCTGCTCATAATACTCAGGATTAGTAATCAGTAAGTTATGGTTGACTTAATCTGTTTTTTTTTAATTGGAGTGATAGTTACACAAGTGTACAATTTTTTAATGTTCATCAGACTGGAAAATTAAAATGCAAATATTTTGTTTTCCCTCAATATTATTTTACTTCAACAAAGTTCATTTAAAAACAAAATAATTAAAATATGAGAAATGGATAAGACATTAGTTAACAGGCTGCAGAATTAAAAACTACAAATACTATTTATAAGAATTAAAACATAATATTATTTAATGTAAGAAGTCATTTGCAAAACAAACCCCCAAAAGTATGGTAGTTTGAACAGTAGACATTTATAACAAAACAATACAATGCCAGGTCAGTTGAGGGATGGCACTTGATGTGTGATGGAGGTGTCATGTGTTCCATACCATTATTTAGAGAAATGCTTAGGGATGTGTTGTTTCTTCAGCATTCTGATTGCAAAGTTGCCCTGGGAAGTGCCATACATGGGAGATTCTTCTAGGCTACACCTGTAATGCTGTTTACAAGACACACTTAAAAGAAATGCACAGAGGAAAGTCAAAAGTCACAGAACAAAAGTGTGTGTGTGTGTGTGTGTGTGTGTGTTTGGCATGATTTCAAAACAAAACAATGATCATATAGCTATTTTAACATCATACAAAAAAGAAAAACAAAAGCCAGCCAAACAAACAAACAAAACAAACATCAAAACAAAACAAAACCAAAAACTAGTAAAACACAAAAAAAACTATAAAAAAAATTAGGGAGATTAAGGATACGAATACATGCTACATCTATTAGTTAGGAATTGTGTTTGATGAGGAGGAAACCAACAAGAAAGTGGCTCAAACATATCAGGGGACTAATTCTTCTCAATGGGA
Source organism: Homo sapiens (assembly GCF_000001405.40). NCBI lineage: Eukaryota > Metazoa > Chordata > Mammalia > Primates > Hominidae > Homo > Homo sapiens. The sequence goes on along the minus strand of NC_000004.12, from coordinate 114,411,588 downwards.
ACCTCAGAAGAGGTAAGAAGTGCAGAGCTGAAGCAGCATCATAAAGCCATCTGGGCTCCAGGCTCCTACTATTTTCTATTCAGTCATCTTTATTTTTGTCACTTACTGGTTCCTGGATAGCTGCTCTACCCCAGTCTTATGTCCCCATTCTGGGCATAAGAAGACAAAGAAGAAAAGGTACATCTGAAAATAATCTGCCCCCTTTTATTTTTTATTTTTTTGGAACTATCTCAGGTGACTCACCAAACATCTGCTTTTAACTCATTAGCCAGAAAAGTGTCACACAGACACTACTATCTTCAAAGTGTTGCTGGGAAATAAAGATCTTGTGGAGCATTTTTCTGACCCATCTAAAATCCAGGGTTATTCAGTTTTATATTTCTTGTTTAGCTAATTTCTACAAATTGTTTTTCTGGGAAATTGCTGTTTTACCCAGTTTTCAAACTTCGTGGCATAAAAATTCATAATATTATTTACTGCTTTTCAAATGTCTGTTGTGGTAGAATCATTTCTCTTTCTTCATTCCTAATTTTGGTTATTTGTGTCTTCTCTCTTTTTATTTATTTGGATGATCTTGCCTGTAGTTTACCTATTTTAATTGTCTTTTTAAATAATTGATGCTAGAAAGAAATATATTCTTCCCACTTGGCAATTCAACATAAGAAAAATATTAAAAATTAAAGGCACATTTGCTGTCTCCCTTCCCCAACTTCAACTTATTATTAACTTATTACTAATTGTAATTTTAATGATGAATATGTTACAGTAGGTAGCTAGTCAGTCATGCACAGGGCAGGAGAGGGCTCCCCTTTCCACCAGGAATGTCAGGCAACCATCAGGTGGTCAGGCAGTTGTTACACTGTTTCTCTACATTAATAATTGGTCACAGCCAACACCAGGGAAAGGCAGTCTCCCAATCAATAGAAACACCTGAAACTGGTGATCAGTAGCTTCCCAATAAGATCTCAGGAGTTGAGAGAGTGGGCTAAAGCATGCTCACTAAGAGGCAAAATGGCAGATAACCTTTCTCTAGGAACACTGTACTGGTAAGGGAAAAACTCCTCAAATGAGCATGTGTACAACTCTAGTAAACACACTGCACACGCAGTTTCTCCCAAGCACTTGCAGGCTGCTGCACCCCAAGGAAACAATCAGAGAAGGGATGCAAGACCCTGGAAATATGCTAACATATAAGATCCTAAGTCAAAGTTCAAACGGTGCACCATGCACATGATCTCTCAGGTCACCTGTTTGGCCCTCTTCCAAGTGTAATTTATTTCCTTTCATTACTGTTCTAAAGCTTTTAAATAAACTTACTCCTGCTCTCAAGCTTGCCTGGGTCTCTCCTGCCTTATGCCCTTCAGTCAAATTCTTTCTTCTGAGGAAGCAGGAATTGAGGTTGCTGCAGATACATATGGATTTGCTGCTGCTAACACACATACTATTGGTAGCTGCTCATGTATTGGTGGTTAATATTCACTGTGAAATTTTAAGTAAAAGGTAAGTATATCATTCACAAAGAGTTTTAAAAGTGAGCCTCAATAGCTATTGTGAAAAATATGTAAATTTTTAGCCCTCTATTTAAGCTAGTCTCCAACTGCTTATTTTTTCCTTATTGTTAATGTTAATTTTTTTTTTGAGATGGAGTCTTGCTCTGTTGCCCAGGCTGGAGTGCAGTGGCATGATCTCAGCTCACTACAAGCTCTGCCTCGCAGGTTCACGCCATTCTCCTGCCTCAGCCTCCCAAGTAGCTAGGACTACAGGTGCCCACCACCACGCCAGGCTACTTTTTTATATTTTTAGTAGAGACGGGGTTTCACCGTGTTAGCCAGGGTGGTCTCGATCTCCTGACCTCATGATCCGCCCACCTCGTCCTCCCAAAGTGCTGGGATTATATAGGAACTGGACTGTTAAAGCAATCAGAGGATGAAAGTTAAAGAATCATAAAGCAAGGCCTTGGGTTTGTTACTGTAACAGGAACATTGGGAGAAAAATGAAAATATGCATTGGTTTTGAGCTGTAAAGCTATTAACTACAACCGATGTTATGTCTGGATGTTCCTTTACCTTAAAAAACAATGAATTGAATCCTAAAGTCCATTTCCAAATGCATTTCAAATACATGTTGTTTAGTTTCAGAGGATGGGATTGTAACACAAATTCATTCAATTTTGCTGAGTTTCATAATAAAGTATCTTATCTGTTCCATAAACCTTAGAAAATAGATCTGATTACCCAAGAGCAGCATTAACTAGATAAAAATTGTGTGCCTGTGTGTCTGTGAGAAAGAGAGAGAGAGAGAGAGAGAGAGAGATTTGTGAAGTGTGTGACAATACATTGCCCTGTTTTTCTGCCTCTTCTGATTTCATAAATTGTGGTTTATAATAAAAAGCCGAGATACAAAGAGAGAGGATGGATGGATGGATAGATTGATAGATAGAAAGAAAGACTGATAGATGGATGGATAGATAGAAGATAGATAGATAGATAGATACATCAAGCTTGTAGAATGCAGAAACTACAAAATGATATTCAGATATAGAAAGAAAATTATATTTATAGCAGCTGTATTCATAATGGCACCAAAACAGCTATATTCATAATGGCCCCAAACTGAAAATAACTCTAAATCCGTAATACAAGTACATAATACAAAGTGATACATTTCTGTAGGCAGAAAATATTGTCAAATTTCTATGCTGCTGTCTACCAAGCCCATGGCCAAAACTAACCAACCAAACAAACAAAACCACGTAGAAACTTTTTTTCCCTTTTTTTAATGCTCAAAGCACCTAAGAAGTATAGTTAAAAGCACTAGGTTATCCATGGAGACATCTAATTTTTTTTCTCCATTTCACTCTTCCACAAATGAGGCTTTAGGTCTTAAGAGTGGAGTGATGCCTCCCATGGCAACACTCTACAATACTTAAAAAAACTACCACTTGAATTGAACATAATAGGTTTAACACCTCAGACACTCTGGGTGTGTGAGTTAGCGGGAAAGGGATAGAGAATCCTTGCTTTTCTAAGAGTTATCTCTTGTCGGTCTATAGAAATCTTATAGATAATAGAAAGTGTCAACAGAAATGTCATGTAAAGCCAGAGTTCTTAAGATGTTAACTATTCTGTAAATGGTTTCAGACACTTGGTTATGACCTGTTATGCATCGGTGCTATCTACAAATGCCCTCTCTTTATAAAAATGTTCTAACTAACCCATTTTCTTCCTGTAGGTACTTTCTATTTTACATTCAATTTGTAATGCCATTCTCAGATGATCTACATTAAATTGAGCCAGATAATAACTGCTCACCTGGAACAAATGCTACTATAAGTTTTCCTTTAATGGTTCTCTCTGATATCCTTATAGCAGCAAGCTCAAAAGTTTCTATGAAATTCTTAAGCAGAATCCAACGATAAAATAGGCTTGAAAAACGATCTGTTAGCTAGCTCTCTCTTTAATATAACATATTAAAATATCTGAGTAGTACAAGAAGTGGAGCAAGATATGGTTAAATACATTATTCTAAACTTATTTAACTAAAGATTCTCCCTTTCACTGAACATCCCAAATTAAAGATATTAACATCATATAGTACTGATTTTTTGTAATCATGCTTTGAAAAATAATTTTATGCTGCTGTGAAAATTTGTTTTATACATACATTGAAAAGGCTCTAACTTGGTTTTAGAAATTATTTTTGATTTTCTTATTTCCTTTGATACTATACTGTGATAATAGGTTAATGAAAATTACAAACACACTGCATGATGGTTCTGCTCATTGTGTACATTCACTGAAGATGTAAAAACAAAAATCAGGACAAAATTCCATAGAGTAAGATGTGAATGGTGCCATTTGGAATTGAGAAACATGGCACCCTCATAATGACAAAATTAAAATAAAAAGCAGAAAGTAGCTGAAACACCACAGTTGATTTATCATTTACCAGAATGGCTCAATTCTTTGTCTAGTATGTTCTTTCTGCATGCAGTATGAATGTTGTAAGTATACAAGAAGAATAATTGTTACAGTTTAATTTGTAATATTTTGTTGAGAAAAAAATGCTTAAGATTGGATTACTTGGAGTTACTGGTGGGAATGCAAAATAGTACAGCCACTCTGAGAAAGAGTTTGATAGTTTCTTAAAAATTAAAAAAAATTATCATTAGATTTAGCAGTCTCACTCCTATGTATTAACCCTGGAGAAAGAAAACTGTATTTACACAAAATACATATGTTTATATCAACTGTACTCATAATGGCCCCAAACTAAAAATAACCCCTAAATTCTTCAACTGATGAATGGATAAACCACTATTACATCCATACAGTACAGTAGACTATAACTCATCAGTAAAAAGAATTATCGATACATGCAATAATTTGGAGGGCTTTTGAATGCGTTATACTACATGAAAGTAACCTAAGTCAGAATGTTACATACTATATGATGACACTAATATAAAATCTGGAAAAGGCAAAATTGTAAGAATGAAGAACAGATAGATAATTGTCAGAAATTGAACTGGGGGATAGATTTGATGAAAATTAAATAGTGTAAAGAAATTCTAGGAGAAGAGGAATCTGTTATCCTCGTCTCATTTTTTTTTTTTTTTTTTGAGACAGTGTCACTCTGTTGCCCAGGCTGGAATGCAGTGGTACAATCTCAGCTCACTGCAACCTCTGTTTCCCAGGTTTAAGTGATTCTTGTGTCTCAGCCTCTTCAGTAGCTGAGGTTACAATTGGAAGCCACCAGGCCTGGCTAATTTTTTGTATTTTTAGTAGAGATAAACAGGGTTTTCACCATGTTGGCCAGGCTGGTCTTGAATTCCTGCACCCAGGCAATCTGCCTGCCTTGGCCTCCCAAAATGCTAGGATTACAGGTGTGATTAAAGCCCTTGTGCTCTTAAAGAAGAATTAACCAAACTAATTAGCCAGCCCACCAAACAGACAAAACACAATAACAAAAAACACCAACATTTCATTGAAATGTTGAAAATAAAAGATGAAATAAAATAATCTTGGCAAATACAAACCAAAACAAAGCACGGGGGTGTATTGTGTCAGGAAAAATAGACTTGAAAGAGATGGCATTATTATGGAAAAGGTAAAAGTTTAATTCACCAGAGAGATTTAATGATTTTATGTAATATAAAACCAATAGAATAATTTTGATATCTAGAGAGCATATTCAAGAGAGCTAAACGGAACAATTGACAAAATCACATTATTTTAGGAAATTTCACATACTTTTCACAATTATTAACATTTCAAAAAGAAATTTTAGAAAAAATAGAAGAGGTGTAGATGCACAATTTAAAAAGCTAATTTAATCAACTTGGACCCATCAGTTGGAGATGGCCCATATGATCTAAATGCATATACAGAACATGTAAAAATGAACCATGTTAAAGTGGGTCTCAGACTTTAAATAATAAATTTTCAGACCATGCTTCTGATCACAACACACTGAAGTTAGAATTAAATTACAAAATAATGAATAAATTTATTCCAATGTAGTTTAAATTTAGCAAAACTCTTTCATTCTAAATAACCCAAAGTAAAAAATATAATATATATATAAACTGTGTGTGTATATATATATATATATATATATAAAAGTGTGTGTGTGTGTATATATATACACACACATATATAATGTAATAGGAATTTTAAAATGTTAGAACATGATAATGGAAATGTTAACCAGAAAAACCTGTGAGATATAGGTTAAGGGCCATTTTTCAGAGAAATTTTGAAGCCTTAAATTATCTTTTTAAAATGTAATTTTTGATATTTAGAAAGATCTTTATTTTAATTCTAGTGCTTATCCTTAGCTATAATCCTATACTTTTGTAATGTTTATTCCAGTCCTCTTCCTTTGTACAATACCTATTTTTCTTTATAATAAGCAATAATAAAGGTATCTACTACTTTCTCCACTTCCACCTAATTTTAGCCCATTGTATTATTTTTCTTGATATTTTTCTATTGTTAAATACGTTTATGCTCATGCTAAATGATACTTCAGATTTAAATAGTAACCTCTGTCTTTAACTTACTACGTATGTAGCAATTGTTATGCTTATTTTATTTTCTGCCTTATCTCTCATTCTTCTCTTGGCTTCAATTTTTGTATCATTCCTATATTATCCTTAGAATCTGGATAAATATATTCAATGATCACTATCATTCCTTTGTAAAAATTTCCCAAGTTATCCATTTTTTTGAAAAAGCTTTTTTTCTACCCTGCTGCCAGCAAACCACTGCCCCAAAAACTGGAGAGACAGGTGGATACAGCCAGTCACAGCTTAATAGAGCAAAAGCCCATGAGCAGCAACCTCTGGTGGAACTAGTTCCAAAGGCTTATGTCTAAGAACAATAGAATACAACAAAAAGAACTGCCTGTCTCAGGGAAACAGTCTTTAGGGAAACCAACAGACAACAGGGAAGACATAAACAACCAGAGGAAATTTTAGTTTCTGAAATGTACGACTTCAGGAAAGAATAAAAACAGCTTAACTCCTAGCCATATAAACACAAAGCCTCCCACTGAAGGCCTTTTTTTTTTTAATCTCAGTTCCTTTTATCTAGTGCATCATGTCTGTCTTTCAGTAAGAAATTACAAAGTGAACTAAAAGAGGAAGAAAATACAGTTTGATGAGACAGAGCAAGCATCAGAACCAAACTCAGATGTTGGAATTATGAGATTGAGAATTTAAAACAAACGCAATATGCTAAGTGCTCTACTAGAAGAAGTTGGCGACATGCAAGAACAGATGGGTAATGTAAGCAGAGAGATGGAAGCTCTAAAAATCAAAAGACAATGGCAGAAATGAAAAACACTAACACAAATGAATAATTCTCATCAACAATTCTCATCAATTCTCTCAATTCTCATCAACTCATCAATCATCTTTAAGTGATGTCAATAGAAATCTCTAAAACTAAAAGGCAAAGAGAAAAAATAAATAAATACAACAGAATATCTATGAACTGTGGGAGAATTACAAAAGGTGTGATATATGTGTAATGATAATACCAGAAGAGAAAAAGCAACAGAATGAATGTTTGAAGCAGTAATGACTGAGAATATTCCAAAGTTAATGATAGACACCAAAACACAGATCCCAGAAGCTCGAATAACAATATACAGGACAAATACTAAAAAAAATCTATACCTAAGAATATCACATGCAAACTGCAGAAAATACAAGACAAAGACAACACTCTTTTTTTTAAAAAAAATTTATTATTATTATACTTTAAATTTTAGGGTACATGTGCACAATGTGCAGGCTTGTTACATATGTATACACGTGCCATGTTGGTGTGCTGCACCCATCAACTCGTAATTTAGCATTAGGTATATCTCCCAATGCTATCCCTCCCCTCTCCCCCCACCCCACAACAGTCCCCGGTGTGTGATGTTCCCCTTCCTGTGTCCATGTGTTCTCATTGTTCAATTCCCACCTATGAGTGAGAACATGCAGTGTTTGGTTTTTTGTCCTTCCGATAGTTTGCTGAAAATGATGGTTTCCAGTTTCATCCATGTCCCTACAAAGGACATGAACTCATCCTTTTTTATGGCTGCGTAGTATTCCATGGTGTATATGTGCCACATTTTCTTAATCCAGTCTATCGTTGTTGGACATTTGGGTTGGTTCCAAGTCTTTGCTATTGTGAATAGTGCCGCAATAAACATACGTGTGTATGTGTCTTTATAGCAGCATGATTTATAATCCTTTGGGTATATACCCAGTAATGGGATGGCTGGGTCAAATGGTATTTCTAGTTCTAGATCCCTGAGGAATTGCCACACTGACTTCCACAATGGTTGAACTAGTTTACAGTCCCACCACCAGTGTAAGAGTGTTTCCATTTCTCCACATCCTCTCCGGCACCTGTTGTTTCCTGACTTTTTAATGATCGCCATTCTAACTGGTGTGAGATGGTATCCCATTGTGGTTTTGACTTACATTTCTCTGATGACCAGTGATGATGAGCATTTTTTCATGTGTTTTTTGGCTGCATAAATGTCTTCTTTTGAGAAGTGTCTGTTCATATCCTTCGCCCGCTTTTTGATGGGGTTGTTTGTTTTTTTCTTGTAAATTTGTGACAAAGGGCTAATATCCAGAATCTACAATGAACTCAAACAAATTGACAAAGACAACACTCTTTAAAGAAACCAGAGGAAAACAAAACCCAAACTGAATAAAACCTTACTGATAGAGGAGCAAGGATAAAAATGATCTCAAACCTACTTTTAGAAATCATGTAATCAAAAATAGAGTGGAGTGACATCTTTCAAGTATTGCAAGAGCTTGTCCTCCAGTTTTCTCAGAACAGGCTCCTGTGAATAATATTTTCTGAGCTCTTTTCTATTCAAAACTGTGTACAGTGTTTATATGTAATAAGTTGGCTGAATATAACACCCTTGACTCATATTTTTTTCTCTGAAATAGAGAAAATAGCCTGTAAGTATTATTCTTCAGCCTTTTTTTTTTTTTTTTTTTGAGACTGAGTCTCACTCTGTCACCCAGGCTGGAGTGCAGTGGTGCGATCTCAGCTCACTGCAACCTATGCCTCCCGGGTTCAAGCACTCCTCAGTCTTTTTATATTGATAGTTGATTGGGAGAAGTTTAATGCTTACCTGATTTATTATCTTTTGTATGTGATTTGTTCTTTTCACTTGTTTGTTCAATGATTCTTTCCTTAACTCTTAAGTCCAATTTTACTGGACTGTATTTCAGTGTTACAAATTTTAGTATTCCCAAGGACATGGTGTGCCTTTTCACTTTATAGATAGAAACTTTCTTTTATTTCTGGAAAATTTCTGGATTATACTTTTAAATATTTTTTCAGTTTTAATTATTTGATATCCTCCATTATTTTGTGTTTTTTTTCTTCCTAATATTATGTCATCATCACTGACCATCTTTTACAAGACTTACTGTTTTCTGATTTGATGAATTTCTTCATAGCTGTGATTATTTCATTAAAGAATTGACAAATTTAGGTTGCAAAGTTATGTTTCAATCTTGAACTGCTTTGTAACTACCTTTTTAAAAACTCATCTGTTAGAATATGCTTCATGTTTTATTTTTCCTAAAAGTATCTTTATTGGTAGAATTTTAAGAAAATATACCTAGGAAAGTGTTAATCTTGGTCACAATACAAGTAACTAACTCTGTTATTTGTTCCTGGAATGCTGATCTAATTTATAGCACTGCAAGCTAATCCCTGTGGAAATGTGAGCTTACTTTTCTGTATACCTTACTTTTCTGTAATGCAGAAAAATTAGTGTCCTTAAACATCTTAGCACTATATATCTTACCAAAAATAGATTAAACTTACAATCTGCTCTTTCACAGGCACCTTAAGGAAGCAAAGTCTTCTCTCATCCTCAGGCTGTAATCCACAGACAAGTAAATTGAGATTCTAATAAGATGATGTTATATGTTGGTATATGTGTATTTTTTCAAGAAGTGGACTCATGATTTTCTTTATGTTCACAGAGGAATCCAAGAATGACAATGACAATAAAAAGATGTGGTCCATTTGCATTGAGGAAGGAGGACTAAAATAAGATCTAAGGAAATTTACAGTTTGTGCATTTTACTAGTGATATGGTTAGGTCACTTGCTACCTCTGGGAAATCAGTGATTTCTAAGGCCTTTTGTAGTCTGAAAATTCTATGATTCTAAAGCCAGGAGCCTTTCTTGAATGCTGTCTCCTCTGAAAAATTTTGAACAGCAATTCACAGCTATTCCTTCCTTATTATACTCATTACATGGTGCAATAATCCAATTTTGCTAAAGTCAGAATTGTGGCCATCTGAGTGCAAAGCTATAAAATACTCTTTGTCTTAGACCTAAAGGACATTGAAGATCTAGAGTGCACAGATTCCAACCCTTGATGCCACGTGTTTTACGATATTTAGACTGAGCTTTCAAGGCCAGAGTTAAAAGAGGAACACTTAATTCAGAAGGAAAGCTGCTGTAGACAGCATTATAAAGTCCACACTTAAAATGATTGGTCATTCTTCTCTGGTTATTTTTGTGTTCAGTTTAGAAGTGAAGGTAGTGAGAAATTACTCAAAGAAGATTTCTAGCAGCCATGCAGCTTTTAACACCACTGTTTATTAAAGAAAAAAAAATTTGGTATAAGAGAGCTGAACCTATAAAAGGCATAGTATTCTAAAGACAACATATAACATAAATTGAAGAAATGAAAAAGAAGACTTGGCTGAGCATGCTGGCTCATGCCTGTAATCCCAGCACGTTGGGAGCCCAAGGTGAGCCCAAGAGTTCGAGACCAGCCTAGGCAACATAGTGAGATCCTGTCTCTAATTAAAAAAAGAGAGAGAGAGAAAGAAAGAATACTACTCTTTAGAGTTATAAGAGTCAAACTGAATTCCTTTCAACTCCACCTTATTGGTCACTTTCTTTGGCAAATGAAAATTAAAATAAATTAGACTTGAGGACCCTTTTTCTTTTATAAAAAAGAATTTTATGTTTAATATATTGTGACTGCTTATAAGATTTTGAAAGAAAAAAGTTTTCAGGACTAAAGTAGATAAATAAATTAGTAAATAAATAATAAGTTTTAAATTTTAACTGTACAATAAAGTAAAGTTAAAAAGACCCTAGGATACTTTTCTGCTAGTGTACATGGGACCTGTGGATATAAAAGTTTGACTTAGTCAGGGAAAGCCAGAACACTACTTTCATTTTCCAATGTGATAAAAACAAGAGTATTCTTAAAAGATGCCCTCTTAACCTTCAAATAACTTCCTCTACAGATGAACAGATAATATAAAGTATACTGACTTGTTAAACGCATTTGGCTAGAGGGCTAATTGCTGTTATGCTATGCTCTATTGCTTTTACCAGTTGAATCATATGCTTACTAAGAGCTAGTCATACTTGTCCCAAGACCCATTACTTTATTGTAATTGCCACTGTAATTATGTAACTTAATTAAATGTTGCATAAACAAATGAATGAGTATACAAAGAAAGATAGTTGTTTCTATGAATGCTTTGGAAATATTTGGTAATAGCGAGTTGCTAAAAATGTTGCTGCTCATTTAAGGTGAATAAGGCAATCCTAAAAGATTGGAAAATTTATAAAATACATAAATTTCTAAATTAGACCCTTTTTTGCTTCACTTTTGAGAAAACAAAACTGGATGCATTTAGTAGAGACTGACTACTAAATTTACTATGTAGTCTATGAGACAGACCTCACCCTCATAGAAAATGCCTTCTCCCTAAATTGACTAAATGTACATTGTATGTTTTAATAAAAATAAAATGTTTAGAAGGCCAGGTGTAGCGGCTCACATCTGCAATCCCAGTGCCAAGGGAGGCTGAGGTGGGAGAATTACTTGGAGCCAGGAGGTTGAGATAGACCTGGACAACATAGTGAGACCTCATTTCTAAAATAAATAAATAAATAGCCGAGCATGGTGCTCCACATCTGCAGTTTCAGCTACTCAGGAAGCTGAGGTAGAAGGTTTGCTTAAGCCCAAGAGTTTGAGGCTGCAGTTAACCATGATTGGGCCACCACACTCCAGGTTGGGTAACAGAGAAAGACCCCAACTCAAAATAAAATAAAATAAAATGTTTAAGAGATTTATACATTCTTACTGATAGGGACAGAGGGCAAAGAAATTCTGGTCAGAAAGGGCCAGGTCCACGGCAAAAACCCCATCCTCTTGCCGAAAAGCCTGAAACTGCGGTCCTAAGTGGGAACTTATATCTCTGTTTTCCTGCTAGAATGTTGTCTTTTCCTAAACCACCCATGCCCCACACCACCGCATCCTGTGCCTATAAAGACCCCCAGACTCAATCAACAGAGAGGAGAAGCAGCTGGACACTGGGGACTACAGCTGGACATCAGAGAAAAGCGGCTTGACTTCAGAGGGACAGCTTTACTGTGTAACTTCAAAGAATCCAGCCAGGGATGGCTGGACTTCAGGGGAAGATTACCTACTCCCTATCCCATCCCCTTTTCAGCCCCACTTCCTGCTGAGAATCACTTACACCAGCAATAAAATCCCCCACATTTACCATCCTTCAACTTGTTCACATGACCTCATTTTTTCTAAATGCTGGACAAGAGTTCGGGAGCCACCAAGTGTAGATACAAAAGCCTGTCACATTGGCCCTTTGCCCTCGTAGTGGAGGGCAGCCACCCCATGTGACAAGGCAAAGGGCTCACTGAGCTGTTAACACTTAAGCCATCCATGGACAGCAGAGCTAAAAGAGCACTGTAACATGCCCTCTGGTGTTTCAGTGCTTGCAGGCACCCCCTACCTGGACGCCATTGTGGGGCCCGCAGGGAGTTTGCTCCTGCTGGTGCCAAAGTGGTCAGCAGGTCCAGTATGCATGCATTCCACTTCCTGCCTTGTTCACTCACGTGCTCCCTCCTGCAAGGGTTTGAGAGCAGTGAGCTGAGTAAATAAGGCACCTCTGTTGCAAGTCCTCCGAAGGGGTCAGGGAAATAATCCTACCTCATTTCTACTATGTTACTTCAAATAACAATTTCAAATAACCAATCAATTATTTTATCCTAAGTGTCAGATAAGATGACTTCTACTCTGCAAGTCAGAGAGAACTGCTAAGTAGGAATTTCCTGGCATTAAATGGCATAAATAAAAGGAAATTACAAAAGATAACTCTTACAGTATGACACTATTGCTAAGGGATGTGCTGCAGTTTGTATTAATATAGCCTTACAATATATAGCATCAGAGACATGAAATTCAGAATGTATGAAGGTTTAAAACTTTTATTTCTAGTAATAATTTTGCAACAGAGTATACAGAAGAATGGAGATTGGGGAGTGTCTTACTTTATGCATGTAACTGTTACCTTCTCTAGTGGATACAGAGTAAAATGAATGCTGCTTGTGCCTGCCCAGGGCCCCTTTCCCAGCTGTTTATCACTCAGTGTTGAAAGTGATATCAGCTTCCCTCTTCTGGAAGGAATTAACCTCAGCCAAGTGGAAGCCATATATTTATGCAAGCTATCTTCAGTCTTGCTGTGGGTCATAGACAATTATTAACTGACAGTACAGTAGGAAAAGTCAGGCTGTGTGTATTGGCATGAATGAAAAGAGAATGCCTTGGAGTAGGTATTTTGGCTGTTGGATCAAAGTGGGAACCAGATAGTGCAAAATCTTTCATTATGAGGAGTTAACATTTTGGACAGAGCTTCAGGAATTGATTCTAAAATGCTGCAGAGATGGCTCTTGAATGCAGTGGCCTGTGGGAAATAAAGGAGAGATACCAGACTGCTGTAGGAAAGCTGTAGAAGAGGAAATCTAAAGGCTCAAGGAAGGGTCTGTTTGAATGAGTCTGCAAGACAAAGATGGAAAATACATTATCTGTTCATGTTCTTCAAAGGAACTTGTAAGAGGCTTCAACTTTGAATGTGTTCATTACTCAGACAAACTAATTGGCAGAGTTTGGAAGCCTTAGGGCTCAAATCATTAACTATGAAGCCACAAAAACACAGAAGAAATCTTTAGGAATCTAGGTTAACAAATAAAAACAAACAAACAAACAAACAAACAAACAAAACTGAGCCTATATTTTAGTAGTCACTGTGGAAGATTGAAGTAGATAGGATGATTCAGCCCATTAATGCCAGCCAGACTCTGTCAGGAGCCACAGTACTGCTTACAAGGGTTCATAAATAGGGAAACATGGAGGCAGGGACAGATGCCATGCACAGGCCCAACAACATGGGTTCTGTCTTACCAGGGTTGATTCTTGTACTACTACTGCTGAGTGTCCAATACACCAGAAACAGAGAGCAACACTGATGCCCCCAAACTGTATCATACCCAAGGAGACCAACCAGTTAGTTGTTTGCAAGTTGATTATATCAGATCTATTCTATTCTGGAAAGGTTAAGCTGACCGAGTGTGAAACATATTCTGCATATGAATTTGACTCCCTGCTCAGTTTCTCATCCAGCACCAGTATCTAAGTGTTCCCAATATCTAATCTACAAAGAAGAGATTCTGTAAAACATTGTTGTGGACCATGAGAACACCTTAAAACAAAGGTGACCCATGAGATCTACTGGTTCTACCATAAAGCACACCATCTAGAAGTTGCCAACCTCTTGAAAACACAGTGGAGGCACCAGCCTGCAGATAACATGCCTTGATAATGGTATTTCAACCTTCAGAATGCAGATGAAATTAATTAAGATAATGTTATACCAGAGTAGGGTGGGTTCTTATTCAAATATTACTAATATAAGAAGACAGAAACACAGGGAGAAGACCTGCATGTGAAGACAGAGTCAGAAATTGAAGTAAAACATCTACATGTAGCAGGGAATCTACACTACCTTACAACAGATTTGCCACATTTAAAAAAGTAGCCATTTTATCTCCCCAATGTTATGTCTTGATCTTGTGAAAATATAAGTCCAAAATTTCTGTGTAATGAGTTACCACAAACTTACCAACTTCAAACAATACCACAAACTTACCAGCTTCAAACAACACAGTTTTTGTGGTCAAAACTCTGAGCATAGCATAGCTTTTCTCTGCTTAAAGTCTCACAAGACTTCAATCAAGGTATTGGCTGTGTTACGTCTTCATCTGGAAGTTTGATTGCGAAAGAATCTGTTTCAAAGCTTTCTGTATTATTTTATAGGGATGCCATAAAAATACCACAAACTAGGTAGCTTGAAACAACAGAAATGTATTGTTTTATACAGCTCTTAAAACTATAAGTCTAAAATGAAGATATCAGCAGAGCTATGTTTCCTCTATAGCAGAAAATCTTTCTTGATCTCTTCTAATGTCTGATGGTTGATGACAATTTTGGCATTTCTTGGCTTATAGATGCATTACTTCAATTTCTGCTTCTGTTATCACATGGCCATCTTTTCCCTTTGTGTCTCTTTTTACAAGGACATTAGTCATATTGGATTCAGAGCCCACTCTACTCTAGTAGAACATTATCTTAACTAATTACATCTGCAATGACCTATTTCCAAATAACATCATGGTCTGAGGTACAGGGGGTTAAGACTTCAGATATATTTTCCAAGGGACACAATTCAACTCATAACACTCACTCAAGTTGTTGTCAGGATTTATTTCCTTATGGTTGTTAAGACTCAGGCTCCAGCTTCTTGCTGGCTATCAGTTGGAGGCTGCCTTTAGCTTTTAGAAGTCTTCCAGAGTTTCTAGAGGTTGCTCACACTTTCTTGCTATTTGGGCATTCCCAAAAGTGGCTGTTTACTGCATCAAGACATCAAGAATATCTCCTTAATGTAATCATGGCAATGACATCTGTACTGGGTTTAATAGCACTCCCCCCAAATTCATGTCCATCTAGAACCTCAGAATATAAATTTATTTGGAAATAGGTGCTTTGCAGATGCAATTAATTAAGATAAGGCCATAATGGATAAGCGAAGGTGTTCCTAAATCCAATTACTTGTGTCCTTATAAGAAGGCCACATGAATTCACAGAGACACAAAAAAGGTGGCCATGTGCACAAGGAGGAAGAGATTGAGAAGTGATGTAGCTACAAGACAAGAAATGTGAAAGATTAACAGCAACTACCAGAAGCTGAAAGAGGCAAAGAGAGATTCTCTTCTACAGGTCTTAGAGGGAGCATGGCCCTGCTGACATCCTGGCTTCAGACTCCTAGCCTTCGTAACTGTGAAACAATAAATTTCTGTTATTCTAAGCCACACAGTTTGTGGTAATTTGTTGCATCAGCCCTATGAAATAAAAACAAATTTCATCACTTTGCTATATTTTATTGGTTAGGAGCAAGTCATAGATCCCACCACACCCAAGGAGAGGAGATCACACAAAGACACGTAATAGGCTGGGATCATAGGGGACCACTTTAAAGACTATTCTTCATACAAGAGGCAAAAGTAAGAATAGTTCCATCAACCAAAGGTCTCTATAATCCATTTGGAGAAATTGTGCTTCACTCTTATATTTTTAGATTCAGTAGGTCCAGAGGCCCCAATTCTCAGAGCAGGGATGCTTCTACCCGGGGACATAATAAGAGTCTTACTGAACTTAACGCTTTTGCTTCTGCCTGATCACTTTGGACTTCTCATGCCAGTAGAAAAGTAAGCCAAAAAAAAGAGTTTTCATACTGGCATGACATTAGACCCAGTCATCAGTAGGAGGTAGAGCTACTACTAAATAATGACAATAAATAGAAATATTTTAAGTATTAAAATGATCTACTAGGATGTCTTGATATGTCCAGTACGAACTGTAAATAGGTAAGTTCAGCAACCACAGCCTGATAAGGATGTGAAAACCAGGGCCTCATGGTGAGTTATGAAGGTCTGGGTTCACCCAACAAAAAGTCACATAGATCAGCAAAAGTACTAGCCAAAGCAGAAGGGAATCCAGAATGTGTCATGGAAGAGGGAGATGTTGAATATCAGATATGCTCTTAGGACCAACTAAAAGATAAAAAACTATAGTAAAACCTACTAACTTGCCTCTTAAAAGTTTCCCTAAGAACTGTGACTGATCAGAATCCTGGAGAAGCTGTGTCTGGATGGACTGAACTTAATGAGAGAAGCATGTAGATGAAGAGTGGACTATAGTGGATGCAACTGGTGCTCTGCCTAGTTCCCTAGTACCAGTTAGTGTACACATCCTCTGGGTGATGTGAGGTTTGGGGGATAATAATGAACAGGTGCCCCCTTCTCCAGAGAATTGCCCTTGGTTAAATAGGAGCCACCTTTACCAGCTGTATATGCCCTTTTTAACTCTCTACTCCCTCAAAATATAATTATGAGATTACAATCTCAAGAGCTGTTTCAGAGCTTCCCTATCAAATCTGACTAAAGCTAGTCTGCCAATGAGACCATTTTATTTCCTGGCTTTTTTTTTTTTTAACTCGAATTTGCATTCCTAACTCCCTCTCTCTTGAGACCAACTTCTTAGCAAATTATTTGAATGAGAATTCTCATCTGAGGCTTTGCAAATTAGGAACTTCTGTAAGACATAAGCCACTAGTTTTTCTTCTCTTAGGGTGCCCTGAATAGCCTTTCCATTTGTATTAGTTTGATCTTTATTGGTTCTTTTATTTTGAAATATATAACACAACTATCCCTCCTTCTCTGGATTTCTAGATTTGGTTCCTCCATCAAGAATGAACAAGAACATGAACTTGAAGAATTAGCTGCTGTATACATCTATTTAAAAAAACTCAAATTACTGATCTCTTAGTGGAAAATCCTCTGAAACTTACCGTATGAATGAAAGGTTTTGCCTTATTAGACAGTACTCTCATCTTGCATAGGACATGTCCTCTCATGGAGAGTGAACTCTTTCACAGCTCAGGAGCTGGTGCACCATTGAAGTTAAAGTTGTTCAAACTCAGTTTCCTGGGCTCCTAGGGAGTATGGATTGGTACAAACTGTAAGCTGTTGTGAGTTGTAAATGGCCTTCCTTTGTTTTCTTGCATTTAGATATTCTATGTCTTAGCATTTCTGGAACACTTTTGGAGTGTGGCTAAATTATTCTTATAACCTGCTTGTGATAGTAGTAAGCAAATACTTAACAACAAGCTGATACTGGTGCTGAATATGTACTGGATCTACTTTAATAATATTTTCAAGGCCACACCCACACAGAAGTATTCAGCATTCATTCAGCCACCCTCAAAACCTTCTCTGGAAATTCTAGGCTAACCACAATCAATTCTTAAACTTTTATCTTTGTATTCAAGCCACAGAGGCTAAACCATAGTACGTCTTTCAGGAAATATTGGTGAGACAGACTGATAATCACAAAAAAATTTCAAGTGTCTGGGTGTGTCCACACAAATTTATAAGGATCTTCCTTTATCTGAATCAGCACCTTTGAACAATTCATATGGAAGGAAACTTGAAGGTGGGGTGCAGGTAGTATGAGCTTACAGAGATGTGAGATGTGACACTAAACTCAGTAATCAGCAAGATCCACCTGTCACCAAGTGAGGGCCGTGAGCCCTTTTAAAGATTGCTCTAAGCATTCCTTATATTTCCCAACTCAAAGGAGTTATGATCTGGGAATGTGCACTTAGAGATTACATGAGTGTGCATATATTATTAAGAAGAGCTGGGCAATCTCTGCCTGGAATTTAGACTGAGTCCTTCCTCTTGTCGGGTTTCTGGAGTCCCATTGATTTGTCTGCACTCACTCACTAACACACATACTTGGTGCTAGTCACTTCTCCTGTCAACCTATTTGGCCTCAAACATTTTCTGTCTTCTCAGCTTCTCTTCCACTCAAGTGGAGTTAATTGCATTTGGTGAGAACATTAAGAAAACATTTTGTCTCTGATTTTGATTTACAGATTCTGGCAGCTAATGCTTCTTCACAAATACTGATATGAAGTACACTGGTTTTCCTGATAAATTTCCATGTTCCCTTCTTCATTGTGCACACTTTTGTTAAACTCCATTACTTAACTGAAAATCTTAAAGCCCACTACCAGAATGGATGATGAAGAACTTGGCACAGGTATCTTCAGCACATTCCACTCTTTCAAAGACTTGCTCTAAAACCAGTTAACACTCATGCACTAAAATGGAAACACTCTTTACTTTCAACTCACACACTTTATTAAGAGAAATGTCCTGGAAACCCTTTAGGACCTATGTTTTCTTTCTCAATTTTTATAATTCAATAATTTGCCTAATACAGTTTTCATGGTTTACAATTGTCATCCCCAGAATTCTGCCTCTCCTCAGAAATATAAAAATATCTTAGCTTTTAGTGTCTGGGATAACAAACAATGCAGGAGTTCGATGGATTTATAGACAGGATATTTCAAGTGATCTGCTTTGTGTCCAAAAGGGTAGCATCCTAACCTCATTTGCTTAGACACACTCAGGAATATCACTTTTGTTTTTCCCAGAAGCAATTTATCTTTCTTTAAGAATGTTTTAACAATCCTTGCCAAACAACTTGAACTTCCAAAACACCCTGCACAGGTGACATCTCATGTGGGGGCTTTGGAAGGAAACCAACAAAGTAAACTTCCAGCGTAACATAATTCTGATACTCTGGTTAAAGTATTTATCTCAAATGTTGTTCTCACAAAATAGGTCTAGCTGTGAAATCATTACTATGCATACTGTGCAATTCTTTACTTGTAAGCATTTTCTAACTAAATTATAATTTGTGCTAAGTACATTTTTTTTCTCATTGGCACCATTCTGTTAACTATTAAGATGGTATGGTGAAGTATTATTTCTTTTAGAATAATGAATATTTTTATTAGATATAGATACAAACTATATTCAAACATTTTGGATAGTAGCATCCACTTTTCTGTCCCATATTATTCTATTAATAGCATTTTTGCGCCTGTTGAGGAAAGGAGAGAATAAAAGTTCATGATCATATGATCAAGTTAGCCAGGGAAACTGAAATAACAGACTGTTACTTTGCTTTTGTGTCTACAAAGGGGTAGAAATATGGGAGTGTTTTTTTATTATTATTTCATTAAAGTCTATCCAAAATGTATATGGTTTCAGTTTTAAATGCTTGGAGCACCTCCATGGCTACCCACTAACAATCAGCAGTCACTTCCACTATAGATTGTCTTCTGCAGCTCCCCATCCTTTTAATCACTTTGCTTCTTCCTGATAGGTTTATACTTGGTTTGGGTGTTAATTAGTCATTTCTGTCTTTCTTTTGTTGGACAGTGGTCAAAGTGTGTGTGTGTGTGTGTGTGTGTGTGTGTGTGTGTGTGTGTTTGTGTTGGGGGAAGCAGGGATGACAATGAGGGAGATAATTACATAGTGAGGTGGAGCAGAGGAAACAGATAAAGCCTCATGGGGATCTGTCCTAAGGGTCTATATGTAAAAGGCATTCGGACCTTTTATACTGGCAAGATTAAATCCTGCATGAACATTTAGTATACAGATTTCTGCTAAAACAACTTTCCCGCACTGTGTTGCAATATGAAAAGCCATTATTTTTACCTTAGCCTTGTTTTGATGTTAGTGTTTTGTATAACATTGACTATTGCCTGTTGCAATGACGGAAGCACATCCCTGATCTCCATTCAAGAGCAGCTCTTCGTGGGTAAGTCTGTCACAAATAGTGATGACCTACTTTTGCTTATTCAATCTGTTTCTTGTCTTTGGTTTCCAAGAGATTGATTACCTTGAGAATGCTAGGACAGATTTGTTGTTCATAGAAAAGGCTATAAATTGTGAATAAGTATAAGTAGATTTTAGTATTATATTCTAATATGCATCAAAAATTTTCAGGTACATTTATTTAATAGAATGGTTATTCTATGCTCCTTAGTAATTCATTATTAACTTGTTTTTATTTTACAACATCCTGATCAAAACAATGTGTTAAATTAGGGAGTTATGTAGAATTGTCTTAAGAGAATAGGAGAGGTATATTTTAAAACCAGGAAAGAATCAAGAATCAAAATGAGCATTTGGTACCGCCAAGGAAAGAGACGGAGAATGGAGTGACATGATGAGTGCCCTTGGCAGCCCCTAGGATCAGGCGCACAAGCATCCCTTGAGTGGGGATTGCAGCAAATGAGAGAAGAAAATTTGCCCAAGGAGAAGTGTATGAAAATTATGAAAATAGCTCTTCTTTTGCAACTCTGCTTAAGGCTTTTTTCAGCAGGGTGAATTATAGTGCCTAAATTTAAAAAATGAACATCCGTATTTATGTTTAATTAATTTTTTCTTATCTTGCCTACCATGGTAAATGTTAGTAGCCTATATTAGAAAATACGTTACTTGAGACTAGAGATTTTATCTATTTTGATCTTTGCTATTTTCCCTGCGCCTATAATCGTGCTTAGCACTTAGATATTATTCAGTAAATGTGAGTACAATTTGCATAATATTATATTATCTATAAATACATTTAACTGGGAGGGCAAAGACTTTAATACTTAGCAAGAGCCTACAAAAGACCAAAAGAAAGAATGGTGCCTTCATTAGACCAGGATGCCCTGGATGCATTAGGATGCATTAGGGGTATTAGGATGTATTAGGGATGTCACACATCTCTGAGGATCTGAACTGCAGATCTGATGAAGGTATCAGCATTGATCCATATGTCAAAGAGTAGAAAACATTAATTTATTCCTCATTTTAGGAAAAATTAAATATGAATAGAAGTTCCAACGTTTTCCATACCCTAGTCAATGTTTTTGTACTCAACTTACCATTGTTCTAATATGCACATATATTTTTCTTAGCATGTTTATATCAGTGCATATTTTATTATTGTATTTTAAATTAACATTTAAAAAGCAAGTAGTTCTTACACACTAAGATTACTATAACATAGATGTTCAAAATGTAAATCTCAGAAAATAACTTTTATTTATTTATTTATTTGAGATGGGGTCTGTATATATTGCCCAGGATGATCTCAAAATCTTGGGCTGAAAACATCTTACTGCCTCAGTCAGCCTCCAAAATACCCGGGATTACAGGTGCAAACCACCACACCCAACTCCACAGAAAATAACTTTAGAAATATGTATAGAAATTAATCTTGTGAGGCTTCATGCAGATTTGATTCTGTGTTTACAATAGGAAACTTCTTATATTATGGCTGAAGAAATTACAAACTTAACCCTAGGGGGTGGCCAAGAAATTGAACTGTAGAACATTTGAAAATAAGGGTCTAAAATATATTTTATATTCAGTAAAGAAAATTCTTTAATAAAGTAAAATATTTAAAATGGCATGTGTAAGGAAAATGGATGTGCTACAGTTGAGAGTAGGCTGAGGCAGACATCTGGTCCAACATGACTTAGTAAGTTTGGAGTGCAGGTGCACAATACTGCTTATTGTGTAACCATTCCTGTGAGCTAGTGCTTGTCTCTGAGCCACTATTATCTGTAAGTAGTATAACTGCCCTGCCACCTCTGTCATGCAGGAGGAGGGAAAGAGAATAAAGCTGCTAACACTGTGAGTGCATGTGCACATTAGAGAGCTAGCCGCCTTGCAGGCAGACAGAGAGAGAGCCGGCCACCTTGCAGGTGGACAAAGAGAGAAAGTCATCTGCTGTGCAGGTGGACGGAGAGAGAGAGCTGACTGCCTTGCAGGCAGACAGAGGGGAGCCAAGAAATGGCGTGTGTGTCAGGGAGTGCAGCTGCAGGCATGGGGGTGGCAGGAGCCACGGAGCCAGCTGCTGAGAGGGGCTGCAGCCGGAGCGGGCAGCCAAGACAGACTGATGGAGAGATACAGCATAATAAAGCCACATTTCACCTGCTTACGGGCCCCAGGTGTTCTTTGAGCTACCTGCCACCAGTCTGCCTACTCCCCTCAGACCTCAGCTTGCGCTGGACCCTGACCCTTGGCATGATAGCATGCAATTTATTTTACCTTTTTTTTTTTTTTTGGTGTTTTCTACTGCTTCAATTGGTAAGGATTTGTAGAGCTTTGTAGTAAGCCCATTTAAGTTGGCTTATGATTATTATATAAACTTACATTTAAAATCAGGTCTATTATTTAAGACATTATAATTTGGGGCAAATTTCTTAACCTCCCTAAGCCCTGATTTCCTATTCTGTAAAATAGAAATACAAAAAAAAATAAGTTATTAATACCAACTATGAACTGAGATAACACAAAGAAATTATCTAGTGCAGTGCCTAACTCTGACTCCCTTGTCTTCTTGTTGATTCTGAAGGTCTGTTTGCCTTATGACCTATTCCTTGTCCTTTCCCTGATTTCCTCTATGTGAAAAGATGCTGACTCCTGCAGGTTGTGTTTCTTAGGCTCCTGTAACAGCTGGCTTTCAGCTGGGGCTGGTCAATGGCAGGAGGCACTAGTAGAAGATTGGAAGGTGAAAAGAAGAGAGGTGCACCAATATCTCAGCTTGTGTGTCTGGCAGCTGCTAGCTCACCCAGTGGTTTCAGTGCCCATGGATAGGCTTTTGTGTTTCCAACTTCTGCTGCTGTGTGACTCCAGCTCCTGTATTCTGGTAAAATTCACTTCCCATGATCTCAAGATTCCCTCTGACCAGAGCGTAGATGAAGCTAGTTCTAGTTCTATAATTCTTCCTGCATCTGCTGCTCAGAGTTGCCTTGCCACCTTCCACTCAGCTTCTCTGCTTTTCCATCATCTATAGAACAAAATTCTTATGTTGAAGTCCCTGTATCTTAAAATCTCCAATGCTTTGTGTTTTCAAGTTAGACCTAGTATTAGTTTTCTACTGCTGTGTACCAAATTACTCAAAATAAGCAGCTTAAAAGTACACCCATTTATTATCTCACAGTTCTGTAGGTCAAAATTCCATGAGGACTCAACTGGGTTCCCTGGTTAGGGTCTCACAAGCACACAATTATGGTGCCAGCTAGGGCTGGAATCTTGACACTCTGGAAAAGAATCTACTTAATTTATTGAGGTTGAAGGCAGAATTCCATTATTTGCAGCTATAGGTGTTTTCTTGCTGGCTGTCAGCTGAGGGCTGCTCCCAGTCCCTAAAGGTCGTCTGTTACCCTCGCCACATGGACTTTTTAACAATGGAGAACATTCCTCACATGGAATCCTTCTCACCCTTTGAAAATCTCTGATGTCCTCTTCTGTCCACAGCTGGAGGAAATTATTCTCCTTCAAAGAGCTTATGCGTTTAAGTTAAACCCACTTGGATAATCTCCACTGATTAGTAACATCAATTACATCTGCAAAATCTCTTTTGCCTCCTAAGGTAATATAATCATGGGAGTAATGCTGGGGAAGAAGGTCACTGTAGATAGAATTCTGTCTTCCACAGGCCTTAAGTGATCCAACACTTCTGGCGCTAGCCAGGTTTGTGTCCTTGAGCTAATCATTTAACCTTCAAAGACCTTAGATTCTTCATTTATAAAACATTTATAAATAAGAGGGCTAGGCATACTGATTGCTAATGTTCTAGTTCTATAATTCTACCATTTTGTCATCTGAGACCAACATTACTTGGGCTAACAGGAAGAATGGTGTGGGGTTTTGCTATCTTCTCTTGTGCCCATCCCCTTTCACTGGGGAGTATTTAGATTTCATTTGGAAAAATAGAAACTTGTGTTTTGCCAGAAACATTTCTTAAGTTTAGTCACAGTGAAAATACCTATATTTCATTGTATTAAACTTCAATATTTAGGAGTGAGTTGCTACTTCTTTTGGCGGTGCCAGTTGTGCCGAAAGTTTTGACTTGGGTCAGTAAGCCCCACCTCAGTTCTCAGAGTGATGATGCTCTGGTATGAGGTGAGCTGGATAGAGAATATAGAAGGGCTAATCCCAGAGGGTTAGAGGAGAACTCAACCTAGTAAGAGCCTCAGATGATATAACAGTCCTGGCATCTCGGACATATTACATAACATCTCTGAACTTCAGTTATATCTTCTGTAGAATGAAGAAATTCACCAGGGGACTTTTAGGGTCCTTCGGGTTTTAACAATAGATAACCCTTCTCTATAATACCGCCTTGGCTGTAATAAAAACACAGTAACCATATGTACAATGAAATTGTAAGTTTGTTAAATTCTCAGGTGGAATGAACACTGAATACTTTAAACACTCACATAAAAAATTTTCATTAAAATATTTCAGTGTATAGTTTTTGGATGTTATAATTCATGACCGTAAACCACTCCCTTCCACCTCCATAGATCTATTCCTTCTGGATTAATATACATATATAGTATGCCCTTATAAAAGTGAAAAAAACGAAAAATAAATAACAGCATATCAACATCTGGCAGTCACATAGTGCCCTCTTCTGGCTAATGATCAAACCACAACTTTTCTCTGTGCTATGACATTATCTGGATATTTGCATGTTATTTTACATCTTTTCCACACATTTACTTTGTGCTATCTGTTTCAATAATTCTTAATGTTTAATTGTTATCAGTTTTAATAATCATTGTGTTTTATTGATGCTGTACGCATTCACCTGTTTAGCAACTTAGTTTAATAAACACAGGTAATCTATAAGGTTTTTTTTTTTTTCCTCTGCAAAATTTTAGACTATAATCCAGTTGGGGTATTTTTACTGATAAAATTAACCAGATTGCTACATTTACATTGAATTTTTAAAAAGACAGTGATAAACACGTTCTACAACACAGTATATTTATAATTAATATTTCAGTTTCTGCCTCTACATACGTATGGGAGTTAACTAAATCATTTCCGTTCCCCTCTAACTAGGATAAACCACACTGTGATATTATTTTCCCATTCTTGTTATTATAGTTTTTACCCAAGTATTTCCATTCTATATTATATATTTGATCATAAAGGGATTTAGAAATGAAATATAAAGCCAAGAATAATAATGAGTCTATTTGGTTTTAATGAAATAACTGTGATTTGGGGAGGTAATTTAATGACTTTGCCTAATGTCTCCATTTACAACAGTGATTATCAACCCTTAGGACCACATGAAGATCACTTGGGGATGTAGTGGGAAGAGTAAATTTTCTCCAATAGCAACACGTGTGATGTTCTCCAGACATATTGAGACCCTTTGATAGCCTTATACTTAATGACTACATATTCTATCACCTAAATCAGGACACTTTTGAGTGTGAAAGAGTCATTATTAAACAATAATTATTACTGAGAATTACTTATGCCAGGGTACTGGCCAAACTGGGGCTACTGTAGGCAAAGCAGAAGTCGAATCAACATAATTTTGTTACAAAATGTATTCAGTAGAGTATGGAAAACTGAACAAATTCTGTTTTTACTTCTACTTTCAATGGCAGTTCTCATCTTCTATTTACAATTTTCTGTTGTAAGGCAAACAGAAACCATGTTAAACCTTTACTCACCTTGGAGCCAGATGACCTAGTTTCAAATCATAACAAATTACTTAGCTTTTCTGTGTCTCAGTTCCCTCATCTGTAAGATGGGAATATTATTAGTAATTAGCTTATAGGAGTGTTTCAAGTACTAGAGAGTTAATAATGACTGAGTAAATATGTTGGTTATGTTTAGAATAGTATCTGGAGCATAGTAAACGCTACTATTAATAATGAAATTATTAGTTTTTGAGAATGAATACTAATTTGTTTGAGGTTTTATAAAGCGATGATAATTTCAGAGGTTATATTTATCTCAGGAAAGCAACATGTAGTAGGCAGCTTCTCAGATGGCCCTGAGTTCCTCCTTGTGCTCACGCTGCAGTACGTTCTTCTCCCTTTGAGTGCGGCCTAGACCTAGTGACTCATTTCTAATTAACAGAACAAACGACGAAAGTGATGAGATGTCACCTCTGTGAGGAGCTATAAAAAGACTGACTTCCATGTTGCTCTTCCTCCCTTATTTTTCTTTCTCTCTTGTATCCTTGCTCTGAGACAAGCAAAATGCCATGATGTGGACAGTCGTATGGAGAGGCCAACGTGGTAAGGAACTGATGATGTCTCTGGCCAAAAGTCAGCGAAGACCTGAGGCCTAGCAATAGCCTTTTCCATTAGCAAATAGTAATTTAAAAATATTCGAAGAATCAAAATGTAAATAGTGGGAAAATGTGATTTCGTCAGTTTCTAGATGCCAAAAAAAAAAAAAATCGTCTATCTCTTCCCATAAAGAAAATCATTGGAATTTCCAAATTAAAAATAGTTTCAGTTGTACTAGGAAACAAAAAGACATTTAATTATAAATGCAGCTTTGATAGAAATTCTAGTATGGAAATTAAACTGACTTTGGGACTGAATGCATTTTAAGAATATAATCTTAACGGTTCATGTCAGTTTACCACTTGGTGGAGCTACAGTGCCAGATAACCCTTAAAACCTGTTCTGTTTTTATGGACGCAATTTTTTTTTTTGAGAAATGTAGATAAAATGCATAATTTTAATCATTATTTAGAAGCGTTTTATTGATTACTCTCCACCCTTACCAAGCAATTTCTGTAACATGTCAAGAAGAATTCTTTACATAATCTTGGGCTGTTAATGGAAGAGTTTGCTTATTTTTATTTTTCATATAGATGATTTAGGAGGATATTCCTTGGGAAATACTTACATATTGGAAAAATATAATCTATTAAAATTTGAAGAATAGTTATCAGGTCTTCTAGATATTTATGTGTGGATATTATGAGAAGGAAAAGTGAGCCTTCCTGTAGAACAAGGCCTATCACAGAATTCCTGAGTCAAGCAGTGGTAGAGAAAGACTGATTTTTGCAAGGAAGAAAGGACAGACAAAAGGTGGAAATGTTGGTCACAGACAAACATAAATTCATTCTCTAATCCTTACAAACGATTAGAATGATTACATTTGGTAAACTCAGGTCTCCAATCCTTTATCTTGAAATTTGGGGGCCAATATGCGTTAGAATTAAGAAATGTTCAGATTTTAAAAGAGGAATACAGTATTTATATCATATATAGCAGTGCATAACATTCTCAGCAATGTCTGAGCTAGCACCCATTCATGTTGTTGAAGGTTAGATTCCACAAGAATCAGACTCTGAAATAGAGGTTCAGAGAAGATGTTTATTAGAATGTACTCTTAGCTCCAGGTAACTTCATGGGAAGATCTCTATTTGATACAGTCCTTTCACATTTTCCTGAACTGGGGTGAGGAACATGAGCCTTCATACCCCCCTGCAATGAGTCACTGGATTCAGGCTGCTGCTGAATAAAAGAAGGCCTTGTTCTGGCATCCCTCCCAGCAGCTGAGGGACTAAATCTTTCATTCCTGCTGTGTGACTTGGACCACTGTCTTTGAGGTTTCTGAGCTTCATGTCTTCAAGCCCTTCTCAGTTAAAGGTTACTAAATTTGTCCATTGACCATCCAAAACTTGGCACAAGGATACTAGGAGATGTCCAAGTGATTAGCAGAGTAGGAAACATATTCCTCCTCGTCCTTTTGTGTCACCTTTCTCCTGGTGAAAAGAGTCGATTCCTACCAATATGCTAACTCCACTTCTTGTCTTCTATTCACTTGCAAGAAGAGCATAAAGCATCCAAGAGGCAACCACTAACTTATAGTTCAGCAGGGCTTTTCTTGTGTGTCCTGGTGAAAATGTTCTCTTGGAATAAGACAACTTAGAGTTGCAAGGAAAAGAAGCACAGAATCACTAAGTGAGTCATTAATAGTGATAATAAAGGGGGTTAATCCTGCTTCTACACTTTGGCTCCAAGACTCATGCATAATACTTACTGAAGACACAGAATCACAAATAAAGGCCTTGGAAACAAGTGGACACTCTGTCCTGGAGGAATGGTATGCACATCTCCTCTGAACTGCCACTTCAGCTTTGCCTTCAGCAGACCATTCCATTGTGTTGCCTGGCCAGCAGCTTCTGAATGGCACAGTACGTAATGTGACCAGTGGATCATGTGTCATGGACCAGCTATACACTTCCCTTGCTATAAAGTAGGTTCTTCGGTCTGACATAATACTACGTGGAATTTTGTGGTGATGGACCTTATGTTTTATAGGTCCTAGCTGTTGCCTCTTGCATAGTCTTCATCTCTGCCATCACTGATGCTTCTTTCATGAGTTCCTTGTGCCAACACGAAGGTGGCTGATGGCAGAAGCTGGCTCATGTTAACTGGCCAGTCAGTTTTGTTTACCCTGATGGTCAGTGCCTCTTCCATGGCAGAAGGTCTCTAGTATACTTTAACATGCAATATGAAGCCACATATCTCCACAGTGAGTGACCTAATGCCTCCACCTCACACCTTCTTGAACCTGATCTTTCAACATTTCTCTTTCAGGACTCTGATCAGCCAAGCCATTTACTATTGCTTATGATTTCAGCTCTGTACTAGGTTTGAGCTTAGATATGGCAGTGAGTGGTGACTCTAAAACACTGGGGCAAGGACAGAAGCAGATTGGATACCGTAATCTCATGTCACAGCAGATAACTGCAACCACTCACCTATGATCCTGGACCAACATAGGATGCAATGAATAACACAACCTTAGAAGGAAATTATAGGAAAGACTGAGAAAATGCTCTTTACTTAGTGGCCTCTAGCTGACATCACAAATAATGGCTAAATAATGAAATAGAACAAAACATAGGTTTCATTATTTCAAAATGCTTATCAAAGAGGTGGTAGGAAAAAAGCATTTCTCAGAACTCTTCAGTGTTCAGATATATAGGTTATTGTCACATTAAACTTAATTTATTTCAAATCAGGTAAAACAAACTTTGAGAAAAGCAAATGTTCAGCATGCAAACACTTCTA
This sequence comes from Homo sapiens, assembly GCF_000001405.40. Lineage (NCBI taxonomy): Eukaryota > Metazoa > Chordata > Mammalia > Primates > Hominidae > Homo > Homo sapiens. Next base: position 114,382,389 of record NC_000004.12, on the reverse strand, counting down.
CTTCTAGAACTTGTACATGTTTCTCAGTTTCAAACTTTGAGCACATCTATGACTCTTACATCCCTTTAAATCCTACATTGAACCAATTGCTATAATTTTTCCCTTCAAAGGCAGCTGACATTAATTCATTGTGCTTTGTTTTCTTCTCTGGCTTCTGATTACAAACCCTTGTTTTATTATTTGATTATTGGAATATTTTTCTAACTGAGCATTCCCTGTTTAAACAAGCCTGCCTACCACTGCTAGATAAATTTTCCTTAAAATCTATTTTCAGTATCTCATTATTTGGTTAAAAATATGAACAATAGAAAGAAAAGATGCTTCTTAAGTATTCTTAAGCAAGTTAAAAAAGAAAACTCCAACTGAGAAAGTATGTTTGCAATATGTTTAATGAACTGGTGTTTAAACTAGCTACTACATGAGGGATGCTTGCAGTTCAGTAAGCAAGTGACTCTAAAGAAAAATGGAAAAAAAGTGTACAGTATAAAATCATTTTGAAATAAAATTAATGTACATAAATAGGATACATAAGCCCCAAATGCTAATGGTGGTTTTTTTCTAGGAGATGGAATCATGATTGATCTTTCTTTTCTAATGTAAAAATCTTTTAAAATATGGAATATTTTAGATAAAATGAGTTTTTAATTGTAAAAATAAATGTTATATCTATTTTAAAGAGAATATCTGAGAATTGCAGACTCCGTAAATTTCTAACATGGTAGTCCATGTACTGTCAGGTGCTCCATTTCCCTTCCCTCCCTCACAAAACCCACATACTCTGGAGGCTCTAGCAGGGAGGACAGTTATTTCTGTACCATGGCTGCACAGCTCTTCAGTGTTTGGGTTCATGACCTTTTTCAACATGCAGCTTCAGGGAAGACACACACAATGTCAACCAGGCAGACCAAATACCATCTCAATCCAGACAATAACAGGGTGACAGATTTCAGAGTTAGAGTCCCCTCATATTCAAATGAAGTAGTTATATTTAAGGATATTATAATATATTAAAGGATTCATGTTTATGAACCAAAACATAAAAACATGTATGCTATATATAAAAGTATACTTAAAGGAAAAATGAAGTACCATGTTTTAAGTTGGAGTTAGCTTAGATTATCTGAGATAACAATTGGCTTAGAGACATCTTCAGAGAGTGGTAGAAAAATTGCTTTCCTTCTCCCTACCTCCCCCCATCTTGCAGAAACAATGAGAAAAAATAGGGTAAAGAATTCTTAAGAAATTGAGGGGATCATACCAAAAAAATAACGTATTTCTTAAAGGAATCTAATATATCAACATTTTCAGAGTGAAATCACAGAATTTGAAAAAAGATGTCACTTTTTTAGTGCATACCATATGCTAGGTACCTTCTTATACATTAATTTCCTTGAAGCTACATATCCATTCCATAGAATATATATAGAAAAGAGTTTAGTCTAGCTAGTTTCGCAGAAATAATAAAGGAAATTAAATATCTCCTAGAATCTCTAGGAGAGCTGAAGAATGAGACTTGGATGCTGCACTGACAGAAATAGTACAGGAAGAAAAAACTCCAAACTAAGCTTTACTCATAAAAATTATTCTGAGAAGTTAAAAAGAATAAAAGAAAGCATTATAAATGGTATTATAAGAAATTGCAAGTACATCAGAAAACATATTCAATATCTGCTTTCAACTTTTAAATGTGATCTTCAACCAAGTTCAGGGTCATTGTAGGTAGTCAGAAGAAATATGTGTCCTTCACACGTACTGACATTAATTTTAGTTCTAATGATATTTAAACAAATTCAAAAAATTACAAGACAACCAGAAAAGTGATCAATTAAGTTATCAATTAACAGAGTAGAATAGGCTAAATTATTCACTCACAATTACATGTTTTCTCCTTACCTTTGCCATGCTTTCTCATAAGCAGGAAATAAACCCTCTGCCCCACTGATGCTGGTGTTGGGCTTAGCCATGTCATTTGATTTGTCCAATGGAGTGTGAGTGGAGTAACGTACACCCGTTCAAACAGAAGCTTTAATTGACTTGTCTGGGTTGACTCTGTCCCATCTGAACAGTTGTTCTCTGCCAGGAGAATATCATGTCTCAGATGATGACTCCCTCAGAAAAATTCCAGGAGTGAGAGAACTCATGGAGCTGGGTTAAATCCAGTGGGGTGTGTAGCCCCCACTGGATTTAACCCAATACACACAATAAAAAGTGTGTATTGACAGAACCACGGAAATTTTGGGTTTGTTTGTTGTCATGGCAAAAGCCAGTTAATATACAGGGAAACACAATAGTTTAAAGTATGGTCAAATTTAGAAGTTTCTGGATTAGGAATCAGTGGCAATGGAAAATTCCTAAGATTAAATGCTCCTTTTTGAATTAATTTTGCTTTCAGATACCATAACTGTAAATTTATTTCTCCTGACCAAAAAATACCTTATTGCAAAAGAAGAGGGGTCTATTGTACAGGGACCTTGTTGTAGTAAAACAGAGTGTGTGTGTGGGTATATATATATATCTCCAGGTATCCATGTATCTATCTATCTATCGATCTATCTATCTATCTATCTATCTATCTATCTATCTATCTATCCATCTATCTTTCTAGAGAGATAGATAAATCTATATCTATATATCACTTTTTATATAATATATGAACATCTTCAGATAATTTCCTGGGTTCCATGTTATAATAGTTCTTGTTAATCATAATCAGTTTTTGATATAAGAAAAATTGAATATAGAATTCAGAAGTGATTAAAATTAGTACAAACTACTTCAAAACAATGCTAAAATTTCTGTGAACTGAAGTCTAAGATTGCTCGGCATGTTTGAATAAGGCAAAGTTGTTTTTTGTTTATTTGTTTGTTGTTGTTCTCAGATAAGAGGGGGATAGTTACTTTATATCCAAATCCTTACAAAATCTTACTTATTGCTGATCCTCTCTCAGTTTATTTAATTTTGACTAACCAAACCAAATTGTTGTTGTTCAGTGAAGACACATTAGCCTAAAAATCTGTCAATACTAGTATCAAGTGAGTGATTGACTGAGATCGACTGAATTGATGAGAAAGAAAAAAAACCCTAAAACTATAATACAGATTTATTTATTCCTATCATGAACATGACTTCACAATTGCAAGTGCTGGGTTATAAACAAGTTTAAAATTTATTTAAAAAGCAATGCAGCAAATGGTCGTGTTGAGGAGATAGTGGATGTATATTCATAGGAAAATATAAAAACAAATGGGCTAATGTTTTGTGAATGTATACACTCAGGATAAATTTTCCAGTGAAAACATTGTATACAGACCCAGAAAGTGCTTTATCTCAAAAAAGTGTGGACCAGTAAGAAAATAATGTGCTCTGGACAAAGCCATTAGATTCAACAGGCAGCTCTGTTAATGATGAAGACTACTTTAGGAAATACATATCAAAAGCTTAAATAAAATAGTTCAAGGAATGTGAAAAAGTATATTTTTATAGTAGTAAAGTAATTACATAATAATTTGTGATTATAAATATGTTAATTTATTTGATGAAGTAAATATTAAAAGTTGATATTGTTGAAGTTAATTAAGATGGAGACCATGCCTGAAAAAAATCCCTGAGCTGACAAACCCAATTAGAGCTCATAAGTTACCTCAACCTTGCTCGATTTGCAAACATAAGTGAAACAACCTGAGGTGTTTCTTGTAAATGCCTGTATTAACGAAAAACAGAACTCAATCTCAATCAATCAGAAGCAGCCAATTAACATATTATAATTAGCAACTTTCTAAGAAAAGAAACCAAATAAAGCAACTGTACAACTGTAATCAGTCAAATGTCTTATTTTCTTTTACCTCAATGATAGGATTGTAAAAGCTTCCCTGTTGCATTTCACTTGGTGGAGCTCTCAGATCACTTCTGGTTTGGAGCCGCCCGGTTAATGAATCATTGTTAGCTGCAATAAATTTTTTAAAATAGTATTGTGTTTCAGTTTACCTTTTAAATAGTATTTACAATTATATATACAAAATTAGATGTTAATATGGTAAAGTTAGTGAAAAAAACTTCTTTCTGGATCTTTTCCTTGGGAAAATAAAAGATGACTTTATGTTTTAGGTTAACTCAGCAGGAATGCATGGTACCTAACTTCATTCTGAACCATATTCCTTTAACATTTACCACCTTCTATTAATTAATCCCTCACCTATTTTCCACCAAAGATTAGTTCACTCACTTAAAAATTAACAAGTCTAGAACGTAATTTACAAGAAGAGATGTCTCCTAACTTCAGAAGCCTAAAGGTTTGATAAAAGGAGTTCTTCTTTAATGATTTTAACATGCATGATGATTTTCCTTTTGATTAATAAAGAAAAAGCTAGAATTTAAGAGCCAAAGGGTAAGCTATCACATCAGGCTCTGGCCAATCCTATGCTAATTAGGAAATTGCAGAGCCAATTAAGCAAGCGATGATTAGACTGTTGTCACTGGTCAAAGAAAGCAGCTAAATTGGTTTCTTTTGACTACCACATTTTAAACTGAACCTCCATTAAAACCACAAAGAGACATTTCTTTGAAAATGATTTTAAAAAAAGGATTTAAAAAACTAGATAATCTCTTTAGGGGATACTTTCTCCCAAAAAAGTGTTAAAGTTCTGAATGTGTAGGTTGCCTTTCACTAATAAGTGAAGACATACAAATAGAAAATACTTTCCCATTGACCAATGAGTAGATTAATAAGAACCCATGTGGGTTATTTCTTCTGGAATAATGCCTAATAAGGCTGTCAAAGTTACACTGGTGTCTTAATCCATTTTATGTTGCTATATAACAGAACACTTGAAGCTGGGTAATTTATAAAGAATAGAGGCCATGTGTGGTGGCTCACGCCAGTAATCCCAGCACTTTGGGAGGCCGAGGCGGGTGGATCACGAGGTCAGGAGTTCAAGACCAGCCTGGCTGAGATGGTGAAACCTTGTCTTTACTAAAAATACAAAAAATTAGCCGGACATGGTGTTGGATGCCTGTAATCCCAGCTACTCGGGAGGCTGAGGCAGATAATTGCCTGAACTCAGGAGGCGGAAGTTGCAGTGAGCCGAGATTGCGCCACTGCACTCCAGCCTGGGCGACAGAGCGAGACTCCATCTCAAAAAAAAAAAAAATGAAATTTATCGCTTATAGTTCTAAAGGCTGGAAAGTCCAAGGTCAAGGGGCCTTCATCTGGCTAGGGCCTTCATCATCTCGTGACGTGGCATCATCTCATGGTAGAATGCAGAAGAGCAAGAAGGCGTGTGTGTGTGTATGTGTATGTGTGTGTGTGTGAGAGAGAGAGAGAGAGGAATGGTGCTGAACTCATTTTTTAAAAAATCAGGAACCCACTCCCAACATAACAAACTCATTCCCTTAATAATTGCGTTAATCTATTCATGAAGGCAGAGTTCTCATTACTTAATCACCTCTTAAAGGTCCCACGTCTCACTCAACATTGTTGCATTGGGGATTAAGTTTCCAACACATGAACTTTGTAGGACACATTCAAACCTTAGACCCACGACCTCTCCAGTAAAACGTAATCAGGCATAAAATAATCAAGATTCCCTTGGGACCTACCTGCAAAAATTTAACTCTCAACACTTCAGATAAGTTTAGTCCAGTATTTTATTTTAAAGAATGAATTTTTTGAAGCACTCTTTTAGGATATAATTTTAATCCAAAAACTTTTCTAAAAGTTGAGTATGTTTGTAAGTTTGTTTGGCTCCCACTCTCATCTCTGATATTTTCTCTTGAGCAGCTAATTAAAATCCCAGAAAAGTCATCCCCCAGCCAATCCGTTGTTTCTTCACATCTATGGAAGATATGACATACATGCCTGACTAGGGTGCCCTAGAGCTTTGCTGTTTAAAGTGTGGTCTATGATCAAGAGTTGCTGACTAGAAATGCAGACTCTTAAGCCACACCTCTGACATTCTGTATCAGAATATGTATTTTTATCTTAATAAAAATAGGATGGATTTATTTCTGGGTCCTCTATTCTGTTCTGTTGTCTCTGTTTTTATACCAATACCATACTATTTTGGTTATTTTTGCTTTGTAGTAATGATAATAATATTTTAATAATAATGTTTTCAGGTAATATTAATACATAATATAATAAAGCGATATTAATAATAATTATTTAATATTTTAAAGTCAGTAGTGTGCTGCCTCCAGTTTTGTTCTTTTTTGTTGTTGTTGTTCAAGTTTGTTTTGGCTATTTCAGGTCTTTGTGATTCCATATACACATTAGATTTCTTTTTCAATTTCTGTGAAAAATATCATTGATATTTTAATGGGGATTGCACTGAATCTGTAGATTACTTTCGGTAATATGAACATTTTAACAATATTAATTATTCCAGTCCATGAACATGAAATTTATCTTTCAATTTATTTGTGTTCTTTTCAATTTATTTCATCAACATTTTAAAATTTTCTTTGA